>NC_000012.12:38823764-38975279 GCF_000001405.40 Homo sapiens
CGGTGCTGATTCTTGCATTTCGGAAGGCTTTGCCGAATCCATCACTGAGATCCCTAAAGATAGAAGACATACGACTCTTTGACAGCATCACAGAAAATTGGATACAATCTCACAGCATGAGAAAACACACTGCTGAGTGGGTATAATGCTAAATAATAATGGGATGATCTAAAGAGAGGAGCCGATGAGTCATAGGAAGCACAGTAAATGTTTCAGTCAAATTAAGTAGCACAAGACTCATTTTAGGAGGGTTCCAGGAAAAGCCCAAAAGTGTAGGATGGAATTCAGATGAGAAACGTGTTTGCCCAAAGCTTAAATCCAACAGAACAGACTATTGAAATTGCAAAAATCTTAAGCTGCTATTAAAAAGTAAACTAAAAATTATTGAACATCAATTTCAAATTATTTCATCATTATGCATATAAAATATTAAAAATAGAAATGCTTTTTCCCATAATAAAATGAGAAAATCTAATTTTATAAATGACAACAATAACCAAAACACAGAAAGTAAAAAAGCCCGAGGTTAAATTCAAATTCTCATTATAGAATGAGGCAAAAGGCTACATACAACAAACCATTTTACCTTCACAATAATCCTAACTTCGTTGTCAAAAGTTTGATTGATATTAAATAATTTCAAATTCTAAGTTGTCTCCTTTAAATCTCCCAATTTTACAGTTATCATAAATTTAAAAAGACTATCTCTGAGGAGATATTACAACACAATCGCAATTAAAAAGCTAGAAGAAATTATTCTGAGTATCTTATCAGAAAATAATTTAAGTTAGGCCATTTAAAGGAAAGAAAGCAAAAAAAAAACAAGGAAGTATTCTGAATAACTTAGAATATAAATGGGAAACTAATTGGGAAATAAATCTCTAATCTAAAATTAATAAATAAGAGGTACTTGGATAATGCTACTTAAGATAAATAACATTTGGGACACAAGAAGACTTTAAATTCATGATAAATCAATTGTGTGTTACTTACAAGTGGACTGTCTGCCTCAGGATATCTTCTGGAGGTGTCCTATGCTGCAATTCAGAAGCCAGTGCCCATCCAGATAGGGAAAATCACCTAACCTCTCACAAACATGATTGCAAAAAGTAATGGCTGCAGCACCAGGAGTGTGCAAATTCTATTTCTATCCTCAGTCATGAGGACCAGACCATGAAAAACAGTAGAATGTTTAGTGGCTGTCCTACAATGTTATCTTTAACCAGACGGTTAAAGATATCTGGTCAGGGCAGGTTCACACAGCAAGGCAGCAGGAGGCAGTGGAAACTATGAAGAATAGATAGAAGAGCTATACCATAAATACCTATTATTTCCCCAGTGTGAATTTCTCGGCTATTTCGGTCATGCATTCATAAATTTTACTACTCTTACATATTCATGTGAAAACATGGAGGCTTCGAAGTTGTGTTTGTCACCAAGCTTCCTGTCACGAGAAGAAAACACTTCCTGACCTTGCATCATCTCCAATATCTTCCCTGGTTTCATTTCTTCCAAAGCCATTCCCTCTTCCACTGAAATATCTCAGATCTTCCCATGTTCCCATCTCTTCCCACTATTTGCTTATTAGATTGATTCAGGAAAAAAAGTTAAAAAGTAAAAAAAGTGAAGTACATGGAAGAGCAGGAGTTAGCAAGGATGAATGTGGAATTTAGGACTCCATGGAGTGGACCAGCTGCTCTGAAGGGCTATCTTGGCATTATTCGCAGATAAAGCTTCCATGAAAACAGCATTTTGCTCTTCCTCAACCCAATTGTGCTTTTTCAAACAAAAAGTATGAATGGTTGTGTTTTTCATTTGAGACTGAGGTAAGGGAGTAAAATGCTATTTGCATAGAAGCTGTATCTTCTCTCAAAGTACCTGAACTTAAAACTTAGCCAACAGACCTTGTTCTTCAATCCACATGTTCTTCCTCCAGACATATGCCTCTCTCACAGCTAGAGTTTTTCATTAAAGCCAGTCTTTTCTATGTAAGACGAAGGGTGACTACAAAATGTTTTTTCCAGTCCATTGTTCACCTGCGTTGGAACATCTGATCCAGTGATAGCACGTCACTAGGTGCCTTAATTAATAAAGCCAAAATATCTTTCCACTAGCAAACTAATCGTATTCACTTTTACTCTCCCATTTTTAATTAATCTTTCCTATTTCATTTCACCCTCTCATCTCTTTCCTCTATTGGATTATCTCAGGTATCTAATCCAATTCACTACTGTTTAATGAATGTAATTGCAACCAGTCTGCAATTCCTAAGGTTTTGTTTCTTTGCTTTTTTCTTTTGTAGTCCATCTCTTTGCTACACTCAAGCTTTACATTTTCTTACCCACTTAGTACTAAAACTTGCCTAGCTAAGTTTTCTTAGAAAAATTTAGAAATCTTCCACTGCTCAAACAATAATCTTACCTTTAAACTATTTTCTTAATGTTTATTTGCCTGACAAGACTGTCCAAGGAGATGAAGGGCTGAATAAAATTTAGTGATATAAGCTTAGAAAATCAAATTAATTATTCCTTTTTCAGTAAGAAAGATAGAACCTGAGGACCTTCAATAAAGTTGTCTAAATTTCAGAATATCCTATAGATGAAGCACAGCATGTGGTTACTGTAGATCCATGTTGGATGAACAAGTTTTGAAGTCTTTCCCTCATTACACTATATGAAATATGTGTATGTTATACCCCGCCCTTAGCAAGAGCTAAGAAAAATCTAAATCTCATCCTTTCTGATTACATAAAATGATCATGACTCAACCCCCAGCAAATTCTCCCAACATCTGCATATTCTACCAGTCTACCCTAGGTATCTTCACCTCTTAGCAAGAATTTATTTTTGCTGGTCATACCTAGTGGGAATTGTTGAATCAGCTGAACAAGGACCATATCTTATGCTATGTTCTATTCACCACATACCCCAATCAACACATTATAATAATATCAAATTTTTAATATATTCCAAGATTAATATAAATATGATTTTCCACTGGTAAATTTTTTATAACTTAATAATTTAATCATTTTCTGAAATTAGAATTATGATTTCCTTATGTTAAAAAAACAGATAAAAATTTCCAATAAAATTACTAATTTAAAAATATGTATACCACATAGGCTGGGTGCAGTGGCTCACGCCTGTAATCCCAGAACTTTGGGAGGCCGAGGCGGGCAGATCACGAGGTCAGGAGTTCGAGACCAGCCTGACCAACATGCTGAAACCCCGTCTCTACTAAAAATACAAAAAAAAAAAAAAAAAAATTAGCAGGGTGCCACACGTGCGCCTGTAATCCCAGCTACTCGGGAGGCTGAGGCAGAAGAATCACTTGAACCCGGGAGGCAGAGGTTGCAGTGAGCAGAGATTGCGCCTGGACAACAAAGGGAGACTCCGTCTCAAAAAAAAAAAAAAAAAAAAGTATACCACATAGCCAACGTGCATAGGAAAGAAATGCTCAACATCACTAATCATTAGAGAAATGCAAATAAAAACCATAATGAGATATCATCTTAGAACAGTCAGAGTGGCTATTACTAAAAAGTCAAAAAATAACAGATGCTGGTGAGGCTGCAGAGAAAAGGGAACACTTATATGCTGCTGGTGGAAATGTAAATTAGTTCAGCCATTGTGTAAAGCAATTTGGTGATTTCTCAAACAACTTAAAACAGAATTACCATTTGACCCAGCAATCCCATTATTGGGTACATAGCCAAAGGAATATAAATTGTTCTACCATAAAGACATTCATGTTTATGTTCATTGCAGCACTATTCACAATAGCAAAGACATGGAATCAACCTAAATGCCCACCAATGGTGGACTGGATAAATAAAATGTGGTAAATATACAACATGGAATATTATATAGACATAAAAAAGTCTGAAATTTTAACCTTTGTAGCAACAGTAATGGAACTAGAGGCCATTATCCTAAGCAAATTGACACAGGAACAGAAAACCAAATACCACATGTTCTCACTTATAAGCGGGAGATAAACATTGAGTAGTCATGGACACAAAGAAGGAAACAGCAGACACTGGAGCCTACTTGAGGGTGGAGGAAGGGAGGAAAGTGAGGACCGAAAAACTACCTATGGGGTACTATGCTTATTACCTGGGTGATGAAATAATCTGTATGCCAAAGCCCTGTGATGTGCAATTTATCTACCTAACAAACCTGCACAAGTACCTCTGAACCTAAAATAAAAGCTAACAAATAAATAAATGAATAAGAAGTGTACCCATTCATAAAAATCTCTATTCTGTTGCTTGGAAATGAAAATTCTGTATTTTAATTGCTTTTGTTTTCTCTTGAAGAATGTTAAAGGCATCTTTAAGGTGGTATTGCATATATTATTGATTCTTTTTAACGACAAAAAACAAAAGGTAGATTTAGTGGTCTTAGGAATCCTTGTGAGCATAAGTCACTAGAATAGGAGATGCAATTAGAATTATATGCACTCAATAAAATATTTGCATCTGCCTCACAGATTGCTTACTACTTACTAAAGTGAGCATAAATATATTTTTGTAATAAGCTTCCAAGTCCTATAATTATGTGAAAATAAATTACACACAAAAAGAATTTAAAATGGGAGCTGATATATGAAAGTTTTCAAACTGACATTCGGTAATAATTTTCTAAGGAAATCAAATTAAATTTCAAAAACTTAGAATTTATAGAATTCTTATTAGCCTAATAATTTCTTGCATAGCAATGAACACACTAAATAAAAAGTTTAATTTTATATAAGAAATGTGAGAATAATGCCTTGCCATTTCAAGTATTTATGTCAGAAATAAACAGATTTATGGAGTATTGGAATATTTATTTTTTGAGTTTGAGATTCTTAAAAGGTTGATGAAGATAAAGACTTCAAAATTCCCTAAAGCTTTTGAGATTGTGGTTAACTCTGCAAATGTACTATTCTTTCTAGATCTTCTGAATTTTATGAACAGTTAAGTCAATCCAAATAATCAGGATTAGGGAAGGGGAAGAAGGAGGAAAGGAGAATAAAGCCATGAAAAATTTCTAAAATTTGCTCCCTGCCTTATTTGGAACTGGAGGAAACAGAATCAACTCATGCAATTGACATGAAAACTAAACATGATCCTAGTAATTGAAGGTGAAGATGGAATAGACCATTCTTAGTGATTACCTTCTCCCAATATTTACCTACTTACAGCTTTCTCTACAAGCCACTTCCATGGTAAAAATTATTATGAAAATTTCAATAACCAAAAGTGCATTTATGAAATACATGGTATTAACAGCAGTTTACTACATATATTTACTAACCCAAAAGAGTAAAATCTCTTTTTCAAGAAGTACGAAATCTGATAATTAATAGTACAACCAAAAGAAAAACAACACATTTCCTTATTTAAATTTGCTCATTTCATCTTGTGAAAATTTTTTAGCATAGCATATGACAGGTGACATAGAAATTATTCTTTAAAAATATGTCAAAATTATTTGTTAAAAGAAAAAACTCAAACAAGATTTTAAAACCCACTTTTGCTCCACAACCATGCATTCACCAATTCCAAACTGACAAAATAGAAACTGTTAAAGTTGGCATTTCATTGTCTGAATTAAAAAATACTTACACTATTGGTTTTTCCAGGCGACTTCCCTGTGAACCAACGATCTCTCCCAATGTACAAAACACTTGTCCCAGAAAGTCCTGAAATAGATAAAAAGATTAAAGCTCATAAGTTTCCAAACTATCTTTACAGTATATGTTTTGTACATCATACATCTGCATTGTTTTCATTGCTGAAATATTGACATTTCTAACTTCCAACAATAAGTAAAATAAGCTCAATATGCATTAATCTTACCATGTGACTTTCACATGTTTGCACAGCATTTTGTGTTTTTAATCACAGAGCAGTTATTCTGAGTTCACAGGCATTGCATTTGTTTTCTTTTTATGTTTTAAGTTACAATACAAAATAGACAAAAGTTGGAGGTTTTGAATGCACAATTGGCTTAACTTCGGATGCCTCTGAATTACTGGAATTGTTGGCTGAGGAGACAAAATGAGAAAGCCCACAGCAGAGGTGGCTAATCCCAGTAACACTTAGAGAAAGGTCATGTGATGCAGTAGCCTCAACTAGGGTCCACAGCCAACCTGCCAGGTGTCTATTCTAGTACTACCACTTACTAACTGTGATTGTAGGCAATTAATTAAGCTCTGCAGTTTGCTCTTCTCTATAATGTATTAGTACCTCCTCACAAAATTGTTCTGAGGGTTCAATTAGTTATTGCATGAGTTAATACTAGCATATTGTAAGTGCCTAAAAATGGGTTAAGTAAAATATACTATAACGTTCATTAACATACAACCGTATGATTCTTATTTTCAAGACTCAGAATAACCCTGTAAATGAGAGGTCTGATATTAACACTGCATTTCACATATAAAGAAACTAAGTGCTTATTTCACATTGCATGCCTATATCAAAACATCTCATGTACCTCATAAATGCATACACCTACTATGTACTCACAAAAATTTTTAATTTAATTTAATTTAATTTAAAAAATAGAAACTAAAACTCTAGAAGGTTGATTTTCCATAAATAGCAGAGCCAAGACAAACTCTGATGTTCTGATTCCAGACTGATATGCCACATAAGAATTTAAATACCATAAGTACAGTGCAAACTCATATATCTATAAAATAAGGGCACCAACACCATCTGGATATGTAGGTCAAGAAAATGTGAAGTTGTTCCAGGGAAAGACACGTGCCTTCTAGCTTAGCCTGTATGTGTTCAAAGAATTGCCCTGTTCTAAAACAAGGTGAGAGATCTCTCTAAATTGTTTGTGTACTGAACACGACCAAGAAAATTCCTAAGAAGGATGGACAGAGAGGATTAATGGCAAACAAAATGTGTTCAGTATACTAAATAAACAAATCTATTTAGTTTAGTAGTTTTACAGAGAAATGACTGTTCTCAGATGAAAGAAAAAAGCCAACCTATGGTGAGGAACTAGTATTGGCCCCATTTCTCAGATAAGGGAACTGAGGCACAGAGATAGTAAATTGCTCAGAGCTACAATTTGGACCCAAGTCTAAACCCAAGGCTTACTACTCACCTAATCACTATGCCAAGCCATGCTGCCTCTCTGCTTCTAGTCTAATGAAAGGAATGAGACCCAGTCACAAAAAAGCTTACCAAGCCACAAAAGTAAAAACTATGTTCTTCAGTGTTGGAGGTGGGGAAAGTGGGGGTGAGAAGTGCCCTAATTAAAAAGAGGAGGAAAAGATATCTGTAGACTAGCATAGTCAAGGGAACATTTTCCCAAAGGAATTACTTTCTTGAGAGCCAGTAAGGAATCAGATCAGATATTGCTTGGAGAGAAGATAATTGGACATTCTAGATTTACAGAACAGAGTTACAGGCCAGAGAATAATGAGAAAAGAGAAGGACTCAAGTAAAAAGCAGAAATGGAGATGAAGAGCCAAGCCCAGAGAGGGCCCTCATGACCAGACACAAAAGTTGTCTTAGGGTCATCAGAAGCAACCAGAAGCCTTTCACCAATTCAGGGACACCATTAGAGCAGTGTATTCAGAAGATTACTCAAGTGCCTATTTGCAGAGTGATTTCAGGAATGAGGAAAAAAACTAGAAGCCAGATCAATCAGAAGGCTATGGTAGTTAATAAGAGGCAAAGTGTTAAGGCCCCAAACAGTACCACACAGAAAAATGACAGGATTTGGTGAAAACCATACTTGCACATGAGACAAAAAATAACCCCACATCTGATACTTGGATACTGCCGGCATGGCCATACCTTCATTAAACTGCAAATCACTTTAAATTTGTTTTCAAATACATAAAGAGAATTTAAGATAAAGCTTTCCCATATTTAAATTAAACACCTTTCATAATGGCACTTCTTTATCAATATCAAAACAGATTTTACAAATGTTTATGGAATTTTAATAAACCTAAATTTCTTTAAGTCTCATGACAGCTAGAAAGAACTGAAAACTGAAGATCTGAAATGTATCATTGCTCTTCTGAGTCAGCAGCAAAAAAACACACAAGGGCGATTCCAGAATTCTTTTCTAAGGATAGTTATGCTTATGCGCACCTGCAAATACTACATATTAAATGGACTTTGCCAATGGAGTAGCGAGTCTCAGTAAAAGCCATCTGTGCTGAAATTGCTCAAGAGAATAAAACATAAATATTGAGCAGGATCATATTAATATGGAGACACACTAACAAATACAAGAGAACACATGAACAATCATCTTGGCTGAACAAAATCAACAAAACGTGCACCAAAAAGCTATGACGTGAATCTGTGTATTTCTGTATCAAAGGCCACACACACACTGGTGTCAACCAGCTCTGGCTAGTCCTAGCTGATTGGCCAGAACTCCACTAGACTGGTTTGATAAACCCCTGAATTAAAAACACCTGAGTGCTAGGTAATGAGGACGATTTCATACCTACAAGAAGCACGGGAAAGGGTGTGTGGCTTGACATACACTATGACATACACCACTGGACTCTACAGAAAAAGCCCCAGGAGAAAACTAAGTCAGAAGTCATTTCCTTTTCCAGCTCCACCAGCGCAGGGCAATGCAATCACCCAATTAGCTAAACTGGGACTGCTGAAGAATCAACACAGGCCCATAATGGCAGACATGAAAAGCACAGACATCTGCTGAGAAGGAAAACAGTACTGTGGCAGTAAGCTGGACATACAGCCATACAGGGCAGTATTGCCAGATCACTTCCCAGGCCTCTCCCTTAAAGGTGAAGCTGGGAAGTGTAAGGCTATAGAAGACCTCGGCCTGTTGCTCTTGCAAATTCAGGTGAGTATAATGTACATACGACTTAAATGGAGGCCTCTACAGGTACCGTACATTTTGCCCCCAAATATTTATGGCACTCTCAGCTAATGTTTGTATTTTTAGTAGAGACAGGGTTTCGCCATGTTGGCCAGGATGGTCTCGAACTCCTGAGCTCAGGTGATCCACCTGCCTCAGCCTCCCAAAGAGCTAGGATTAGAGGCATAAACCACTGCACCCGGGCTTGATTCAATATTTTAGTAGAAACAATTTCTCACATTTTAATATTATAAAAAAGCAAGAATTTGTCTTTTTAACGGATAGATCCATCTACAAACCAAAATGCTAAATCCAACCTCCGAGAGATAATACAAAGTTCTAAATTTAAATTACAAATACAATTTCTAAAATTATACCCTATCCTTGAATGTGTACATTTCTTTTCCCTCAGCACAACTGTTGGTTTTTAAGATATTTTTGGCTACACCAGGAGCAGTGGCTCACACCTGTAATCCCAGCACTTTGGGAGGCCGAGGCGGGCGGATCACTTGAGGTCAGGCGATCAAGACCAGTCGGGCCAACATGGTGAAACCCCATCTCTACTAAAAATACAAAAATTAGCTGGATATGGTGCTGTGTGCCTGTAATCCCAACTACTTGGGAGGCTAAGGCAGGAGAATCGCTTGATCCCGGAGGCAGAGGTAACAGTGAGCTGAGATCGTGGCACTGTACTCCAGCCTGGGCGACAGAGTGAGACCTTATCTCAAAAAAAAAAAAAAAAAAAAAGAAAAGAAAAGATACCTTTGGCTTTCTAACAGTCCAAATGAAGGCAGTTAAATAAGACACTGAAAGAAAATTTTCAACAAGTAGATGATCAGTGACTGAAATTAACCTTTTTTTTTTTTTTTTGAGACGGGAGTCTTGCTCTGTTGCCCAGCCTGGAGTGCAGTGGAGCGATCTCGGTTCACTGCAAGCTCCACTTCCTGGGTTTGCACCATTCTCCTGCCTCAGCCTCCCGAGTAGCTGGGACTACAGGCACTCGTCACCACGCCCAGCTAATTTTTTGTATTTTTAGTAGAGACGGGGTTTCACCGTGTTAGCCAGGATGGTCTCGATCTCCTGACCTCGTGATCTGCCCGCCTTGTCCTCCCAAAGTGCTGGGATTACAGGTATGAGCCACCGCACCCGGCCACCAATTTTTAAAAATTATCAAAGGATAACATGAAGAGCTCTTTTACACAGGGCAGTCAGGTAAGTCCTTGCAGTTATCTATTCAAGTAGATACCTGAATCATGTGAGGGAGGGAACCATGTGAATATCTGGGGCAGAAGCATTACAGATAGGAGAAAAAGCAAGAACAAAGTCCCTGAGACAAGTATTTGGGTGCTCAAGGAAAAGCAAGAGAGACAGCAGGTTAGAGCAGGGTGAGCAATGATGAGAATGGCAGGAGAGGAGGTAACCAGGGGCTATATCAAGGACTGATTTCTATCCCAAGTGTGGATGAAAGCCATTGGAGGGTTTAAACTGGAAAGCGACATGTCCTAGCTGGCTTTTAAAATGATCATTCTAGCTACTCTTCTTCCCTCAAGATTCTATCCTATTCTCTTCTCCATTTGCATTTTCTTAGATAACTCTGAGTTCCAACTTGATTGGCTGATGGTTAGTAAATCTATATCTTAGTCTTCAAACACTGCCTAATCAATATCTCCATTTGGATGCTTACTGGGGGTCTCAAATTTAACATGAACTTGGCCTTACCATGGGTCTCTCAATCCTCACCCCCCTGCCTCAATCTCCTTCTCCCCAATGTACCTCATTATATGAACCACATCACTATTTACCCATTTGTTCTCATCAGGAACCTAGTAGCCACTCTAACTTCTCTTATTTTTACACTGGACATCCAATTCATCATCAGTCATACTACCAACATATATTCCAAATCTGACCACGTCTTACCACTTCAATGGTTTTTAACCACCAAAGGTTGCTCACCCAGTCAAACTACAACAGCCTTATAACTGACCTCCTTAATTCCAGTCTTGCTTCCTCAACCCCATTCTCCACTTCAACTGTCACAGTCACCATTTAAATGCATAAATCAGATCACATCATCCTCCAGTGATATCCATCCAAAAAAAGAAAAATCCAAACTCTTTTTTTAACTGTGGCCTCCAAATCTCTCCATCATCTGATTCCTATGTATGTTTCCGAACTATTTCAGTACACTCCCTTCATCACTCATAATATTTTACATATGGTAGCCAACTTTCTGTCACACCAACATTCCAAACTTTTTTTTTTTTTTTGAGATGGAGTTCACTCTGTCACCAGGCTGGAGTACAGTGGCACAATCTCGGCTCACTGCAACCTCCGCCTCCCTGGTTCATCCCTGGTTCAAGCGATTCTCCTGCCTCAGCCTCCTGAGTAGCTGGGATTGCAGGCATGTGCCACCATGCCCATCTAATTTTTGTATTTTTAGTAGATACAGGGTTTCACCACGTTGGCCAGGATGGTCTCAATCTCCTGACCTCGTGATCTGCCCACCTCGGCCTCTCAAAGTGCTGGGATTACAAGCATGAGCCACCGCACCTGGCCCCAGACTCTTTCTTGACTCAAGGCCACTGGACTGTTCTTCCTTTTGCCTGGGATGCTGTTCTCCTAGATTTTCAATCATTCCCTCCTTCTCCTCAGTAAATATACACCCAAGGTGATAAATGGCATAGAACCATGCTGGTTGGTTTAGGGAAACTTCAGCTTCTGACTACTGGTGCTTCTCCAGTCACTCTCTCCCAGTGTCAATGTCTTACTAGTTTAAGTGCCATAAAGAAAGTCAAGTATCTTAATCACTTATTGTATTCATGTTCATTGAGTAAATCTGCTTACCTCACCTCTTCAATTCCAAAATGTAAGCTGCTTTAGGAGAGAGGCCTTGTTTGTCTTATTCATTGCTATATTCCCCAGCATGACAAGTGCCTGTCCTATATTTATTGCCTGTCTGCCTATATGAATATATATTAATACTTTAGAATTTAGTTCATCTATATATACGTTAAATTAGCTTTATACTCTAATGAAAGAATCTTGCCCCACTTAAAAATCTGTTTCTATGAGAAAATCCATTTCATGGTCCAAACAATATTCAAATAAAATTTTTAAATATAACTGATCTGTATGTGAAAGCTTATATTTATAATATTTAGAAAGTGTATTAAAAAATATACACCTTCACTGAAGTCTAGTATCTAGTGTACAAAATAATCCAGTGACCCATGAATACGTCTGAAACAAAAAGTTTAGTGGTGCCTTCCGCAACCAACCAAGTGGATAAATGTATTTTGGATTGCCTTGTCTGTATGAAAATTTAGTATATAGAGTACAGTTTCTATGTTATCTGGTCCAACATCCCAAGCAGAATCCTGTACACACCAATTATGGGCCTGTCATTAATCCTTTCATTAATGATTTGGCTTATGCAATTTAATTATGCAAATGAAAGTATGCTATGTAGTTCTGCTAATAGTATTTAGTTGAGTAGGTTCACTAGTACCTTACAGAACAAACTCAGAATTCAAAATGCCATATTTTGTTCACAGGGCCTAACAGTATAGGGAAAAATATCTTAGTAAAGCTATTTCCTCAGAGAATCATAAACAGAATAAATCTTCTAAAAAAGATGTCCCTAGATTCCATAAGTCTTTGTCTGGTGCACAATGATTTTCACTAAAACACGTTTCCACCACAAATAGAATCAATTAAAGTAATTATGATCATTTACGTCTTATGTCATATTTATTTGCAATGTTAGAAATCTAAGGTGCAGTTCTATATTCTATCTCCATTTTCCCTAACAGTATCAAAAAACAGGAATTTGACCCAAGAGTCTTAAGTACCGAACACCAAATAAAGTCATCCTGAGAGAAAATTCTTTCAAAATTATCGGAAAAGAGAATGGAAAAAAAAAATTATTATTACTAATTCAAGGGGTCTCTCTTGCTACAAAATCCCTTTTATAAAAAAATAAGTAAGTGCCTTTATGCCACATGCAACCTGGGCACTTAGCAGTTTTTCCTACAAGGTTCCAGTTCATATTTATTTCACTTTGCAAAATTGGCAGGTAGACAACAACAGTCTTAATGAATCATATCCTCAGGGAATAAACCTATCTTGTTCATTGATTCTGTCTGATCTTCAAAAATCCTCATGAATTTCTTTTGGGTTGGATGAGCTATATGCGTCTTTACCTAAAATCTGTACTTGTATGCTTTCAATTAAGGAATAGCTTTTGCTATAAATTTCTAACAGAAATCTAGATAGTCATCTCTAACAGTTCTTATAACAATTCAAAAACACATTTTTCTTCTCTTTCGACATCCTTCACCTACTTATAAGCTCAGGCACTTATTAACTAATCTGTATAGTCGACTAAATATATTTTAAAAATATAACACAGACACAAATATAAAGGATAGCTTAAAATGTAAAATAATATAAATCATGGGACCTACAGGAGACGATGCAATATATCGGTAGAAAAGTAATGAGAATCTGAACTAAGGCAATAACAGCAAGAAGGGAAAGAAGAAGGCAGAAAGAGAAGCATTTTTTTGTTAGAAGGAATAGGACTTGGTGGCTCAGTAAAAGTCAAACGTGACACAGAAAGTGGTTAACCATGCATCCAAATTTTCTAACTGAGTAAACTGTGTTGATGAATTATTCTCAAGATAAATCACAGAAGCAGAAGCACATGATCTGGAAGGAAAAAATCATAAATTTTAGATCTACTTGAGTTTTAGGCTTCTGTGGAGTATGTACTAGGAAATACTTAACAAGCAATTGAAACTTGCATTTGCTAAGGTATCCAGAGGGATAAACACTTGAGGGTCATCAGGTATGGTAGGGACATGGTTGAGCTCTCCCAAAAACAGTTTATATAGTGAGATGAGATAAAAATTGAAAATAAAGTTATGAGAAAAAATAATATTTAGGGATAAGAGGAGGAAATAAAGCTTAAAGTGACAGATAATGGGTAAACAGGGAGGCTGGAGAAGCAGCAAGGGAGAGGTTTCTGTGGAAGTTAGAAATGAATGTTTCAAGAACGGAGTAGTCAATCCTATTTGGAACAGAGAGAGAGAGATTATGAGGTAAAGAGTGAAGAGAAGACATTCAATCTTAATCTAACCTATGTCAGGGTAGTTTAAGCAGAATTGAAAACCTGATGAGGAGATAGTAAAAGAGGTATCATGAGGGTAAAGCAGTGTCAAGATAAAATTTCTTACGATGAGAAGATAAAATTTTCTTATGAAAATAAAAGTATTTCTACAAAAGAGAAAGATTTGAAAGGAAATATACATTTATGATTTCTAGGAGGAGTATCTCTTATATAATAAAATGTAGTCACTAGTGACTATTAAAGGGAAAAGAATTAGCCATGTTTAAGGTACCTTCCTATCCCATACACTTCTCTCTGCCCTGTACTTAAGGCAACTCCACTGATAGGAAACACATGTTCCCAACTTCACTTAAAATATCCAACCCCATGGAAATGTCCTTACCTGCCAGTTATTACGCCCTTTGAAGAGTAGTTTGAACTAAGAAACACAGAAACTATATTCAGGGAGAGTGGTACTTGGAAGTCTATGTCCAGTCAGAAGTGGTGAGGTCATTTCCCTAAACAGAGAAACTTGGTCTTCAAAGAGAAGCAGAAGCTCAGAGAAAAGACATGGTAAAAAGAATATGTGGCCTGAGAGAGAGAAAGAGAAATGGAGAGAATAGCTATCTCACTCACAACTCACCACCCTGTTTCCAGTGCCAGCTCCCATAAAGCCAACCTACACTTCACATTTATGACATGCTCATAATCCCTTTAATCAACAACCTATGTGTGAGAAGTGAATACATTTCTTTCCTTACAACTCAATAACTTTGACTATAAAATGCAGTTTCTTTTCTGATTCTTTTTAGGACATTTGCAAAACTTCCAATATAAAGCTATGCAAATAAATTGTAAATGTCTAGTCACAATGCTATAAACCTTAATCATGAGCAGGAAGGTGGCATGGCAATCACAATGAACTTTACTTATGGAGAGCAATAAGCTTGTTGCAGCATTTTTTTCAACCTGTAAAGAGGTAAATCACTTAGACAGACTGTTCCTGAATACTTCTTCACATGATTCTGCTGTATGCTTCATAACACAAATAAATCTCATACCTCCTTCAATGAAGGGGGCAGCAGTAAATGTGATTTTTACCACCATACGTATCCATGCTCCCAGATTTTCCAAATCTGTTTCCTAGCTCGTAATCCCCCTTTCTGTCTCATCTCTTTTCCGAATTATTACACTCCCCTTCTCCAAACTTCATGGGAAATCACATGCCCATCTATTCTAGTTTGACAGCGTACAACAGTGGAAAAGTTAAAAAATCTCACCCTCCTACATTTCTGGGAACTGTTAGTCCAGCCAGCCTCCTAACTCTGACACAACTGCTAATTCTACATCTGTGTACCCAGATTTCACTTGGCACCTCAGTTATCTCCTTTCAGAATGCTGTTTTCACCCTCATTCAGCCCTTCCTACTGGGGGTGGCCTAATTCCAATTTCACAGGTCAATAAACAAGTTGATGGATTAGCACAATGTTTCGCTGGAGTATCTCACTCTCATTCCTCCCTTCCCATCTACACTTCTTTTCTGTCTAGCTCTGATGCCCAACTACTCCTGGACCTGGAAATTTCCCCAGGTAACAGTTGTTACCTGGCAACTAGAGCTCTTGAGAAAAGAGGAATAGACCAAAGGAGGGACCCAAAAAAGAAAACAAAACTATAAGTGACTTGAGGACAGAGATTATGTCTATCATGCCCATATTATGCCCTCTGAAACTAGCACAATGCCTGGCATATATAGATATTCAGGAAATATTGGTAAATAAACAAACTACAAAAAAAAAACAGAATAACAAACCACTCTGCCTACACTCAGCTACTTCCCATTCTCTTAGAAGTTAAACCTTGCAAAAAGACACTTGCAATTTCATCTTGCTTAACCTGATCTAACTTCAAACATCACTGGGAACTGTAATCATCATTTACTGAAAAAATAAAGATTAAAAATTAAAAGGAAGATTAGTCCATTTTACTTACTAAAGGTAACGTTTTTAATAAGCTCCTCCAAAATGTTTTTCTGGGGTTCTTTTAAAATGTTACTTATTTTCTATGACAATCACGTTACATGAATAACTTAATAGATGTATAACTTTAATATTAATAAGTCAGCATAAGTACTAATCATTGTATTATAATGTTATAAAAACATAAAAATATGAACTTACATGTTTGGATAAGTTGGGGCTCTTTGAATCAACATCATACCTAAAAGATTGAAATATAAAACTCAAATTATTTCCACAAAATACAGCTAGAAAAAAAACCAGTATTTTCCAAAACACATAAATAATATAAAAATGAATCCAAAATAATACCAATAGGAAGAAAAACTTAGCAAATTTTAAAGTTTCACATATTCCGTGGCTTACATGCCAGTGGTAGAATTCATGATCCTTGGGTTCTTTCATTTCTAAACACCTAACAAGCCTTAATATTTTCTCAATAATCAATTCTACTTTTTGATAAGTTTAAACTTTCTCTTTTCTGTGCATAAGTTTAAACCTTCTCTTTTCTGTGCATCAGTAGTATCCCAGTACTGTGCAACTTACTTCAAAATTCCTTAAAAACTGAAAAGCCCTCTTCTCTGGACATCATTTTAAAGGGCAACATGAGGGATCCTTGAGGTGATAGAAATGTTCTGTATATTGCCAGGATAAATGTCAATATCCTATTTGTGATATTGCAAGATGTTGCTACTGGGGGAACCTAGGTAAAGGATACCCAAGTCTCTCTGTATAATTCCTGTATTATTTTTTACAACTTCACGTGAATGAATCTATGTTTATCTCAAAATAAAATATTTTTAAAAATCAAATTAATTATTTAACAAACAGATCCTGGTAACAGGTTGTCCTTAGCACACATTTTAATTTTTACTTAATATCTTAAATGCTATTGTTAAATTGGCTGCAGTAATGAGACATTATTTTTCCCTAATCACAGAACTTAAAGAAAACATACATTTTATGGAAACAAACATATTTACATAAGACTACCATATGTTCTGGTTTTGACCAGTTGGTACTGGAAATTAATCAGTTCTTGGAAAGAGTCTGCAATACGATCATTCATTATCACTTTATCCCCTGGCATTAAAGAGTTTGTAGAAGTAGAGAGGACACTGATAGTCAAAATACCTTCAATTTGCCAAATTCTTGTATAGGAAAATATTTGTACTGACTACAGTCTTTCTCCCAAATCATATTCATTTCAAATTTCTTGTGAATAACCTCCTACCAAAAATTAACTGCCTCTTTAAAGGTTAAAGTCTCCTCTCTCACATAAGAATGTTCTCACAAATAAAGAAAACATCTCAATCATTAAAAGTTCACTGAGTATACGGATGCTAGGCAGAGGGTCCATTCACTCTCTAGCAAAGAATGTTTACCATAAACTAGCTTTAGAATTGCAATGGTTCTAGGTAATAATCATCCAGGGATACTAAGGCTTTGAGGTGAAAGGACAGGGTCTTTTCTAATCAGGCAGACAACACCTGAACAATCTTAGCATTACTCCAAGTGATGGGATGTGAGAGAGAACACACAGAGCCACTCTATAGAGATCGAATTTCTTGCCTCACCTTCTCTTTTAAAAAATATTATGAATCTCATCAACAGATAACTGGTATTAAAAAAGGGAAGGAAAGTATTATAGAATACAGGAGACACAGGAGAAAAATACAATGTGTGACTCTTGTTTGGAGCCTGACTTAAACTAATTGTAAGACATTTTTAAGACAATCAGAGAAATTTCCAAATGGCCTGAATGTTAGCTGCCAGTAAGTAGTTATTTGGGGTAAGGCTGGACAATGGCGTGGTGGTCTTATAAAAACAAGCAAACAAACAGGAGGTTCATAAATAAGCATCCTTATCTGTGAGAGCTTTATTTTGAAGTATTGGTAGGTGAAATGATTTGCTTTAAAGTGATTCAGCAATAAGTATATAATAAATAACCTGGAGAAAGTAAATGAACCAAAACTGGCAATACATACATGCCACTTTTGAATCTGCTTGAAAATGTCCATGATAAAACTTAAAATATTTAGAGCTTTTTCTGTCTTTATCAAAATAGTCTCTCCTCCAGAAGTCCTGTGACTTCCTTTCCACAGGGAGAAGCAGAAAGATGAAGGATTAAATGCAGAGAATATGACTTCTTGTTATTATTTTTTAAATAAGGAGGAAGTTAATTGCCTCTCTCTTCCAACAGCACACACTCATTATGACCTGTTTACCTACATAAATGAATTTATTTTCATACTTTAATAATTAAATTTTACAATAGCAAAAAAAAAAAAAAGCATGATGCAAAAACCTGCCTCAGAAGAATTACAAATTACTCTCCTTCGCATCAAGGCATTCTGAGCACTTTCAACAGCTATAGCCTGGAATTTTAAATCAGCAAATTGCCAACATTTACTGTAGAACTACAGTTGCTAGTACAAAAAAATACATTTTTTTATCCAAGAAATGTTTCTTATATAAGAAAATTTTTTTAAAGGTAAGATTGAAATTAGCAACTTAAACAATATCAGAGATGAAACATAGCTGTGCTAGCTCCTTCTCAAAAATCAACTCTGGAAACTATCTTCTAAAAAGAACCGAGTGTGGACTGGGGAGAAATGACATCGAATGTTCAATTAAGAAGTAAAAGGAAAATGTTTTCATCACAAAAAGCTTAAGTATCTTCAAATACAATCCTCTTTCACTGTATTTTACAAAGCTTTTTAAATACCATTATCTCATAGGTAATTTACATGATATACCTGAATACAATAATACAATATGTTAGATTATAAAGCATTAGAAATTAACATTTTTCCTTTTTTTTTTTTTTTTTTTTTTTGGAGTCAGAGTCTCACTCTGTTGCCCAGGCTGGAGTGCACTGGTGCAATCTCAGCTCACAGCAACCTCCGCCTCCCCGGTCCAAGTGATTCTCCTGCCTCAGCCTCCAGAGTCACTGGGGTGACATAGGTGCCCGCCATCACACCTGGCTAATTTTTGTATTTTTAGTAGAGACGGGGTTTCACCATGTTGGCCAGGCTGGTCTCGAACTACTAACCTCAAGTAATCCGCCCCCCTCAGCCTCCAAAAAGTGCTGGGATTACAGGCGTGAGCCACCGTGCCTAGCCTAAAATTACCATCTTTCTTTTAACACAATTTTTCTTCTAACTTTTCTAAATATATCAAGACTTCTCCAGTCCCACTCTCACAGGTCATAACATAAACACTACATCCTAACTGGTTACAATGTATACGTGTACCTGTGTATCTGTTTATAAGTTCCATACTTTCTTTAAGGAAGACAGAATATATGATCATGGAGGAAGCTTGGTAGTTTCTCCTAAGAGGATGCATCCACTGTGCCTAAATTTAGTAACAAATTTTGCAAACAACTTCATCCTGCCATTGAAACCTTATTACTACAGTAATGAATTGGCAGTAGCTGATTTGGGTGCCCCTTAGGATTACGTTTTTGATTCAAGAGTAACAGATATTGATGGAAATTTTTCTTGTATTTCTGGAATTGCAACTAAGGCCCAAAGAAAAAAAACAAAATATGTGATCATGCTTAGCTCAGAGCTACTGAATCAATCACATTAGGGTCACATACTTTCTCCCTAAAGTTCAGGGGACCAGTCCATGGCCAGGTGATGAACACACTATTCATAAGTGAAGACTTTTCCCTCTCTGTTGGGGGGCAGTAGGGAGGTTCTTTCCACTCCCCAAAGCCAAGTAAAGTATGGCTCCAAAATCTGGGATGCCTGCAAGGTATCTGGGATGCCTGCAAGAAGGGGAGTGCAGCATCTGGTTCATCAGTAAGCTACGGGGCCCTGCTGCAAGTCCACCCTGGGGCTGTCAATAAAAGAGAAACTCACTAGGAAGTTCTAGAAAGTGCTTTCTGAGTGACGAAAAACATAGAATAATGTCCTTTTTGGCCCCTCCTCCATAAGGACAAGACAAGCAAAGTACTTAAAATGTGTCCTCTGAGGCTGATTCCCACATAAGGTCTGGATTTTTTGGACGGTAGGAGACCCCCATCTCTGTCTCCCAACACCGCCTACCTTTTTGCATTCCCACCTCCCTTCTGTCCTGCAAGGAGCTGGGCAATAGCTCCAGCTGAAGGGAGTGCAAGGGAAAAGTCTTAAATGAAGTTTGAGATTAAGGTTTTAAAATAAAAAGTACCTAACAATTAACAGAGTAAGATGGTTCTAAGAAACAAAAGTGACTGGAAAGGCATGAAATTAGACTTCGACATTGTTAAGGGAGCCCTTAACCAATGGGAAAAACCACAGTTGACATGGTGTTGGGACAACTACTAGAAGAAATAAAACAACTTATTTTTCCTCAAAGTGTTGAGATCCATCTAAAATATTTTATAATAACATTATACATTTCATGATTATTACCATTTTATTTATCAAGAAAGAAAATAATTATCTAGGTAAGTCATATCTAGACTCAGATATCCCTTTTTAGTGTTCCAATCTGAATGGAAAAACGAATGAGAAGAGTTATTTCTGAATTATCCTCTATCTGGCACATACTACGAAGTGATAAGGCTATCCACACTTCCTGCTCAAACGCATTTTGGTACAGCTACTCTACCAATAATAAAGTTTTCAACCATGACAACAAAATGGATTTATTAGGAACCTGTATTATCATCAGTGTGATAATTATAATGAAAATAAATAAATGTCAAAGTTTATTACTTTCTCTGTGATATATACATAGCATGATGAAAGAAACCATGTCTCCTGAATGAGTAAGCACATACCAGATCAAAAAGGCAAGGGAATTTTAGGACTTATAGCCGATAAGGTAATCTTGAAAATATATCTCAGACATACCATAGTAACAATAAAAAAAATTATTATCGGTTAACTATTATAGTACTTATAAGAATTTGGGTCAGTGGTAGCAGAAATAAGTTGTCTCTATCTCTTTCTCTCTCTTTTTCTCTCACTGTCGTTACAATTATTTCAGCACTGAAATTTTTTTAAGTTTATAAAAGCCATTTCTAAAACCTGTTATAATATCCAGTTTAGATAAAACATGTTCAAAGCTTCTTTTTTAACTTGTTTAGACTTTTATAAAATCAACAGGCATTAAGTAAACCCAAAACAATTCTGAAAACCATTTACATCTATCTGTTGGTCAATTTACACTAGTGCATCTTTCAGCATGCTGTTCCTTCAACGAACTACATTACTACAGTGAAAATTGATCACACAAAATGAGGTCATTTTTGTCACACCCAACTAAAACAGAATCAGGACCGATTTTCCCCATGGCAGCAGAGCCATGGGGAAAATCACTTGGGAGTCACAAACACCTACTCCAAGAACTGTCTCACAAGCCCAATCCAAAACCTCAAGGACCTGCTGTGATTTTGAGACAAGTTTAACCTAGTAATTGCCACCCCTTACCAATCAGAGATCACCAGCTTCTGTAAGACACAACCAGCATCAATAAAGTTTCTTTCAAAACAACCTATGTAATTTTTCTCTTTTCCCAGTAAAACTCCAGCCTTTCCTTTTGTTCTCTAACACACCAGAAACCATTCTGGTACGTGTGTGTACGTGTGCAAATTGCAATTCTAATTATTGTATATTATTCCTAAATAAACACTTTTCTTAGAGATTAATCTCTGTATGTATTTACTTAAGGCTGATACTGCCAATATGTCAGAATATTTGCAGTAGTTCTCTGGGTAGTAGAGGTTGGGACTACTGGGAATTTGTATTGCCTACTTTAATCTTTTTTATTTTCCAATTTTTTTACCATGAATATGTTACTTTTACTAGGAATAACACATTGCTAAGAATTTTAAAAACCAATATCACAGGTATAATATATATATATATAACTCGTGAACTATTACACTATTTCCACATTTACTTATGTAGATATCCTGAAGAAATCACAAAAATAATAATGATGATAATAATAATAAGCCTGTTCTTTCAGGTTAAAGGTTATTATGTGAGTATTCTAAAAAATGGAAAATCAAAAGGAATTAAAGTGATAGCAAAGACACTACATGAACTAAGATGATGGACTTGTTACTCCTCTTGATGATCTTCTGCAGGTAACCCTTTCTAGCCCTAATTGTTTGAACTTTTCAGCAATCATATAAAATGGAGATGTTCTTTGAATTGAATTTCTGAAACTAACAAAATACATGCAAAAGGTAAAACAATACTTATTTAATTCCATTTTGCAATATGCTTTCCCATTTCAAACGTTACACTGTTTCTGTAAAAATTGCTTCAACTTCAATTAGGAAGTTAAAATATATCCATTTACTTAACATTAATTTATGTTACTTTATAGTTTCCTGACACTCTGAGATAAATGTTCCTGGAACAGACAAGTTTTGAGTATCAGGTAATGAATGAAGAGCAGGACATGGATCTAAAAATCAGAGCTAAATAACAGACGAGGAGTTCAGGGAAGTAACAAAGCTTATAGGATCTCCAATGTTGAAATCAAAATAAAATACACAGATGAATCTCTAAATTAAATCTTTTATTTGGGATGCACAGAATTGCAATTCAGGGCATATACATGCAGACCAGGGTGATTTTCATTCAGTATGTCCAAAAAACTAAGAGAAGGTTGGGAGTTTTATTAGAAAGAGAAAAGCTATATATTGTTTTGAAAGAAAACTGATTGGCACTACAGAAGATTTTGGGAGCTGGCAAAAGTGGCAATTGGTGAGTGATGGTGGTAGGTAAAACTAGTCTTAGAGTCATGGCAGGTCATGACTGTTCTTTAGGGTTACATTGGACCGGTTCAGCAACTGGCCTTGTGGAAAATTCAATTCTTGGAACAGGTGCTATAAGTGCTTTTTCCCCCTGGCCTGTTGACTCTGATTTAGTTGAGTATGACAAGAATGACTCAATTCATATAATTAACTTTCACACCAAGTTGATTTCAAAGATTTAGAACCAGACAGTGGGTACTCCTGTCTGCATCCTATAATCCTAAAATTTGGCTGTAAGTCATTTGTCCTCTGAAAACGTAAAGTATACATAAATATATACTACAAAAAGATTTGCATCCAAGGAAACTCACTGCAGGATTATATGTAGTAGGAAAAATGGAACCAGCCAAATGCCCATCAGTAAGTGTTTGGTTAAATAAATTACAGTTATTTTGAACAATGGAAATTATATAACCTTTAAAATGAATGTGGTATATGCATATTTTGTGGCATAAAAGGATATCTGCAAAATACAAGGTAAAGGAAAATATATTTATTGCAATTCCTGTATGCATATGTGTATGCTTAAAGAAAAAAAAAATCCCAGCATATACATTGAGTCATTTGCAGGTTTGGGAGGGGAGGCAATGCTTTTTTGTATTAGGATAAAAGGAAGCTTTCATTTTAAATGTCTATATCACTTAAAGTTTGCAATAAATATTTATTACTTTCAACAGTGAAAACAATGCAGATGAATGAGAAAGGAAGAAAAAGAAAGGAAAAAACAAAGGGGGGAACAAAGAATCATGAAATAGAGGCTGGTTTTAACATAAAGTTAAGTCTGGGATTAAGCAGGAAAAATTAAGAGTCCCATGCTGGTGTAAAAGAAAATTCTTAAAAAGCAATTGCTACCAAGGCCCAGAATAATGGGAGAATTCAACCACATACTACATGACTTATATCTGTTTTTTAGTGGCAACGCTATGTGCAGCCTCTAAAATAAACATAATCAGGAAGTTACTACATTTCATTTCAGTTTCTCTTCCAATGAGCCTCATTTTTACTATTTGCAAAGGAGTTTCTAAAAAATAAAAAACCAAATGTGGATGTAATAAATTTTGTTTGATAAATATGACGAATACTCAACATTCCTGAAGAAAGAAGCTAGTATAAGATCTTTTTTAAACACAAGCACTGCAGGTTATTTTACCATGCATATTTTAGAGGAAAATGAGAAAGACTAGTAACAGTAAAGAGCTGTTATTTTTTACATTATGAAGCAAATTATGACTTTTTCAAATAAGATGTTGATAGCTTTTGTTATCAAAAAGTATTTATAAATTGTAAAAGTATGGTACATCAGAATTTTCAGCTATTTAAAATAAGACATTTATCTTTTAATGTTCATGAATTTCCTTTAATTATTTTCATATTTTAAGCATATTTTACCCACCTGCCCACAACAGATTTCCTTTTAACCATATCCAGATACTTCAACAATCACTACAGTTCACTTCTGTGGAAAAAAAACTCTATAATAATATAAACAGGCTGACTCTAGGTTCTCTGTGGACAGGAACTTGGATTTGACAATAATGTTTTAATATGCCAGACTTAGTATCAAAGTAACAAGAATACTTAACATATTTAAAATGCTGACTCGATTATCCTGGTCCTTGGAAAAATACAAGGCTACCAAGGGATGAATGGAAGCCATAGTTAGGCAGAGATCCAGGTGCTATGCTAAGAAGCTGCTGAGCCAAACTTAAGATCTGAGAGACATCAGCCATGGGAGTGGATGTGATAACTTTGGAGTATACATAGAACTTGTAGGAAATCCACTGAAGCACAGGGCAGTTGGGAAGAATGTCCATATACACCGTCCTGCATGGCTAAACTGCTCACCTATTCATTCAACATGTATTCAGACCTACAAAATGCAAAGCAGGGGGCTTGCTTGGGCCACACTCTGAACAGAATTAATCTGGTTTCCTGCCAATATAATCTAGAACTCAGTGCAACCATAGGACCCTGCCTTACATTAGTAATATTGTCTTTAAAATCAAATTTTTCTAAACGCAAGTTTTAGTAGAACTTACAAGTCAAAACGAAGATTCTCTCTTTCTTCAAAAAAGTAGTCCAGAATAAACTTTCTTACAAAATCAGGATTTAAAGTATTATCAATTACTTCAGTTCTTCCAAACTGTGGAAAGAGAGAGAGAATTTAAAATTAAACCTTGTACGGCTACTTATTACAAGTATAGTACTTAATATCACACAGTTCTTTTAAAAAACAAGCAATAAATATCCAAATAATAGAAATTTTTTAGCGATAAAATCACCTCTCTTATTTATTCAGGGAAATCATAAAATAAGCCCTGAGTTCATTCAAAAATCAGCTTCTCCCCAAAATTCATATGACAAACCATAATGCTTCTCCTTCTCCTCTCCCTACTTGAAAGTTAAATCCTCTTTTAATGAAAAGAAGTTATTTCTACCTAAAATTTAAATGTATTATAAATTATTTTCCTAACCTTGTATATAAGAAGGCCAGACACTACATATTCTTATAATTGAAGAGATCATAGTATTCATAACCTTCCTCCTCTTTTTATACATAACAGTCCCATATACAATGCCGTTTATTAGCCATGTTTTGGGGAGAATGCTCTGAAAATCTCCTACACACATATGTCACAACAATCAGTTGTTTCTGATTAATCATGTTTTAATTCTTACCATATCTAGATAGCTAAAATGGGACCTATACTTCTTGCATCTTTTAAAGCAATATGCTGCACTTTAGCTTAGAAAAGTGGAAAACAGGAAAAAATATTCCACTTTCTAGTCCTCCCTCCTTTCAATGTGAAAGAAGGCCATTTGGCACTTCTCCCAAAGATAGAGCACAAATATAAAATTTACATCTCTTTTCTATCCTTGGCTTACATTCTTCCCTTCCAACTCCCATGGAATTCTAATGAGAGAATTTTAACTTCAGTTCTGAGCAATATTAGGCAATGAAGCATGCTGTCTTATCACAAACCAACTTTTATTAAAGTTCAATGAAATATTATCTTTTTAATAGGAAAAGAGAAGAACTATGATAATCCATTAAAATGTGAAGCTTTCTTAAATTGTAATAATAAAACTGTAGTACAAAATATTGATGACATAGGATTTACTAAGGCTACTTCCAATGGATCACTCCCAAAAAGAACAAATTTTCAGAGGCCTATGCCATTGGACAATGTTTTATATCACAGACCAATATCATACAGACAAATTATAACCCACGTCACTAATTCAACATTTCAATAATATTGAGAATTTACTTTAAACAATAATATCAATTACAGCCACCAGTTATTGAGTATTTACCTTGTTCCAAGCACTTTTCACACATTACTTTCAATATTTACTATAATTCTGCATGGTAGAACTAGCCCCATTTTAGAGATAAGAAAATTAAAGCAGAGTTTCAACCTAAGTCACTTTGGCTACAAAATCTGCATTCTTTCTAGGACTCTCCTCTATTTAAGTGTAAAACATAGGCCCTGGAGAAGATACAACAATGAGCCTATCCATTTTAATTTTCTAATCTGAAGGGAGTGGGAATAAGAGTATATACCCAAATAACCAGGGGCTGGCAGTGCTCGCGTACTTCAAGAGAACTGTGCAGAGGTCAGTAAGTTCAAGTATAAACCAGAGGGACCCTCCACCCTCCCACTGTTCCTACTGCTGGGAGGAAAAACTGTTTCCAAACCAGAGCAGAGAGCACTAAAGCAGCAAATGCACAACACTCTCAAAGAGAGGCTCAGCCAGTACCCATATTCCCAAGTATCTGGATTTTTAACCCAAACTCACACTCAGAGAGAATTTTTTAAAATGAAGTGAAATTTCCCACAGTAAGCCCCATTGAGGTGCAGCCAGCAACTCCCCAGAGCCTATTAGCCCTTAAAACACACACAAGCCTATTTCTCATAGAATGCTGGCTCCTCAGCAATAGGAGTGACTGAGTATACTCTGCTATCTCTAGTAAAGATTAATTTGTAGCCATTAAAATCCTGGTTTTAGCAAATCATCTATATATTATGACTATATCCATTACAATATGTCTTCTACCACACAGCCCTGAAATTGTTTTTGATGATATCACCAGTGACCTTCATATTGCTAAATCCAGTGGTCACTTCTGGCCCTCATCTTGCCAGATCTCTCAGCAGCATGTGACACAGCTGTCCACTCATTCTTTTTAGAAGCCGTCTTTCCTGACTTTTGACACCACATTCCTCTGTGTTTCTCCTCTTCTCAGATTCTCAAGCATTCAACATCTCATTGGCAGAGCTCAGTTCAAGGCACTCTTGTTCTCTATACAATCACTTTTTATTAGGTTATTTCATCTGTTCCTGCTATAGTTTGAATGTATCCCTTCCAAAATTCAGGTGTTACCAATGTGACAGTATTAAGATATAGAGCATTTAAGAAGTGATTAGGCCATGAGGGCACCTTTCTCATGAATGGCAGGAAGGCCCTTATGAAAGAGGCTTCATACAGCATTTGGCCATCATTTGCCCTTCCGTCTTCCACCATGTGATACAGCAAGAATGCCCTCACCAGATGCCAGCGCCTTGATCTTGGGCTTCCCAGACTTCAGAACTGTGAGAAAATAAATTTCTCTTCTTTTTAAATTACGTGGTCTCAGGTATTCTGTTACAGCAACACAAAACAGACCAGGATAATTTATTTGGTTTTAAATCCCATCTACATGATAACTTCCAAAGGCATGTCATCAGCTCTGAGACTCACTTCTGGGTATTCATGCATACAACTGCTTTTTTAACTTATACAAGTGGTTGTCTTATAGATCCCTCAAAAGTATCATCCAAACATAAAATAATTATTTTATATCACAAACATCACCCTAATACTGGTGCTTACCAAGTTTACTTCTTGTCAATAAATGTTACCACTATCCACTTGATTAATCAGACCATAAATGAAAGTCATCAATCTCAAGTCTTTCTTTTTAATCTGCCAACTCCTATTCATCACTGCCTCATAAGTTATCAGTTATAACTCCAAAACATGCCTCACAGCTGTTTACTTCTCTCCATAGCTCCCATCATCAGCCTAACTCAAGCTTTTCTTCCCTCTTATGGTCTACCCAAAGGGCCTCCTAACTTACATTTCTGCTTCTTCTTCTTTTATTCTCCTTCCAATTCATCTTCTATGTGACATCCAGAATAATCTTTTGAAAATGTAAACATGCCCATGTCATTCCACCAGCCAAAAAATTTTAATGGCTTCCTGTAGTACTTATAATAAAATCTCTTTTCTTTGGTCTAAAGGTCCTGGCTCCTATTTTCCTCTCTAACCTCATTTTAGGCAGTATCCCTTCTTTCTCTTTGCTCCAGCCTCCTGGCCTTCTTGTAGGCCCTTTTACACACCAAACCCTTTCTTACCTCATGGCCTTTGCACCTGCTATTTCCTCTTACTAGAATGTTCTTAACCCCATCCTTGAATGGCTGACTTTTTCCTCATCCTTTAAGCCTCTGCTTAAATGTCAGCATGTCAGCTCTAAACATCAATCTGAAATAGGTGCTCCATTCTTAGTCTCTCTCATAGCACCTGTCTTCCCCCTTAATAAAACTTATATTTTGCTACTATACATTTAAATGTTTATGTAGGCTGGGCGCGGTGGCTCACACCTGTAATTCCAGCACTTTGGGAGGCCAAGGTGGGCAGATCACCTGAGGTTAGGGGTTCAAGACCAGCCTGACCAACATGGAGAAACCCCGTCTCTACTAAAAATACAAAAAATTAGCCAGGCGTGGTGGCAGGCGCCTGTAGCCCCAGCTACTCGGGAGGCTGAGGCAGGAGAATGGCATGAACCTGGGAAGTGGAGCTTGCAGTGAGCCAAGATCGCGCCACTGCACTCCCAGCCTGGGCAACAGAGTGAGCTCTGTCTCAAAAAAAAAAAAAAAAAAAAAAAATTAGCCAGGCGTGGTGGCGCATGCCTGTAATCCCAGTTACTCAGGAGGCTGAGGCAGGAGAATCACTTGAACCTAGGAGGCGGAGGTTGCGGTGAGCCAAGATCGCGCCATTGCATTTCAGCCTGGGCAACAAGAGTGAAACTCCATCTCAAAAAATAAAAATAAAAATAAAATGTTTATGTTTCCCCCACTAGACAGTAAGCTTCGTGAAGGAACAGGACACAGACATGTGTTTGATTTACACCTGAATAAAATTGAACAAATGGTTAAATAAGGGAGATCTGAGATATAAATATCAAGGTTCAGAAAATATATCAAGGGTAATATATAGTATAATACCAATTTTGGTATATGTATAGCATAATACCAATTTGATTAAAACATAAGCATATATATGCATATATATATATATGGAAAAAAATAGAATACAGTGTACCAGAATGTAATGATTATCATCTAATTTTTTAAAACTGTATTATGCATTTCTGGGTTTTCCCAATTTCTTGCAATGAGTAGAATTTACTTTTAAAATCAGAAACAAAAAACTTTCAGGCAGTTTTCCTGTTTTTAGTTCACTCTATTATAAAAAGTGAAAACTGGAAATAATAAGAAATCTACAGATATGTTATGACTAGTTCAGCTTATGGGAAATACACTGGTTATTTCCTGGATGCTGGAATGTATTAGCTATCAACCAAGTGATTAATCTTTTTGACTTGAAGTAAAATTTACATCTTAGCTAATGTCTTATGCTACTAAATAAATAATTGCTAATTCTTTGGAAAATGTGCAGTGCATATCATTCTATACCTATCAAAGGGGTGTAAAATTTTGAGGAAAGACAATTATTAATAATATTTGTTGATGTTATACACCCAGAAACAGCTACATTTTAAAGAATTTTAACTTGTGTCCTAAAAAGTCTCGTTCTGAATATCAATAATACTAGATTATCAAAAGTACCTATGAACCTAATTACAATAACCTCTGGCACAATGTACATGTACAAATATGCGGAAGCCAAGCACTTTTACATAATGATACAGTATTAAGTTTTCATAAACTTATAATTAGGAAACTATTCTTTTATTCACCAAGTATGAAAATTTTCAGTTATTTGAAAAAAAAAGTGTGTAAACTTAAATTTGTTAAAACCAGAAAACACTGTTCCTTTTAAAATTCCAAGCAAAAAGTGAAAAACAATTCACAATCAAGTCTTTCAAAGTTTTCCTTTGTTTTATGCTTGAGCTAATTGGAAAAATAGCTACTTTTCCAATTTAGGAACAAATCTTGTAGAAAATGATAGAATAGAAATACTCCTCATTTCTAAATCAACTAATTATTAAACTACTTCAGAGAAGCAGTACTGGAAAGAACACTCAGTAACTTCATCTATTTATGGCACCAAGCAGATGAACTATGTTTTGATAAAAATGTTCAGAAAGTTTTAATATATTATGAAGGCCCAGCACAACCACCCAGTCTCACATTCACTTGTCAAGTGAAAGTGATGAAGAAAAAAGGTCATCTGAACAACTGCACATCTTTAATTCAATTATTATGTTATAATTAAATCTTAGTAGCCATGATATACAGCCACACTTTCCAGAGATTACACAAGAGTAAATTAGATGAGTACGGGAGTACGGTAGGCAGAATATTCTGACATAATATTAAGATAAATTTAATCTAAAACCGCAATTTAGGACTATAAATATCCAACTTGCATGAAGGATACCAAACATACAAACACACACAGCTACACACACAAAGAAGGTTTACATTCTCATACTCTTCCTCTTGGAAATAAAACACTGGCCTCAACAGAGACTCCACAGCCCTCTTCTTATAAGAGGAAGACATATAGCTCTGTTATATAACTCATTATCCGAGGCATTTTTTTCACAATCCAATAATACGAAACTCACTTTATTATACGTCTATCCTATCAGTTCTGTCCCTCTAGAGAACCCTGACTAACACACCCTGATACCAAAGCCAGACAAAAACATTATAAGAAAAGAAAACTAAAGGCAGCTATCTTTGATGATCACAGGTGCAAAAATCTTGAACAAAATACTATCAGCCTGAATTCAACAGCACATTAAAAGAATAATTTATCGTAGGTGGGATTTATCCCTGGGATGCAAGGATGGTTCAACATACACAACTCCATAAAGATGATACAGTACGTTAACAGAACGAATTATGAAAACTATATGATCAACTCAATGGAGCCAAAAAGGCTTTTAACAACATTAAAGAAAGTTTCCAGATAAAAATTCAAAACAAGTTAAGTTTTAAAGGAATATACCTCTATACAATAAAAGACATATATGAAAAGCCCACAGCTAACATCATACTGAAAGCTTTTCTTCCAATTCAGGAACAAGACAAGGATGCCCACTCTCACACTTCTACTTAACATAGGACTACAAGTTCTAGCCAGAGCAGTTAGACAAGAAAAAGAAATAAAAGGCATGCAAATTGGAAAGAAAGAAGTGAAACTGTTTCTATTTGCCAATGACATGATCTTATATAGAGAAAGTTCTAGACTCCACCAATAAACTATTTCAACTGATAAAGTCAGTAAAGTTACAGGATACAAAATCAACACAGAAAAATCAGTAGTATTTCTTTACACTAACAACAAATTATCTGAAAAAGAAATTAAGAAAATCCCATTCACAATAACATGAAAAAACACAAAATACTAAGGAGTAAATTTAACCAAAAAGGTGGAAAATCTATATAATAAAAAAAAACACTGATGAAAGAAATAATTATGACACAAATAAATGGAAAACTATTCTATGTTCATGGACTGAAAATTGAATATAGCTAAAATGGCCATATTACATAAATGATGTAATCTCTATCAAAATTCCAAGTCATTTTTCACAGAAATAGAAAATACAATCCTAAGTTTTATATAGAACCACAAAAGATCCCATATAGCCAAAGTAACCTTGACAAAAAAGAACAAAGCTGAAGGCATCACACTACCTGACTTCAAAATCGATCACAATGCTACAGTTACCAACACAGCATGTTACTGTCATAACAACATATAATGACCAGTGGAACAGGACTGAGAGTCCAGAAATAAATCCATGCACAACACAGAATGTGGAAAGGAGAGATGTTGATCAAAGTGTACAAAATTTCAGTTAGACAGGAGGAATAAGTTTTAATGATCTACTGTAGAAAAAAGTGACTATAATAATAATGCACTGTATATTTCAAAATTGCTAAGACAAAATTTTAAATGTTTTCACCACAAAAATAATAATAAGTAGGTGAGGTACTGGATTTCTTAAACAACCTGATTTAATTATTCCCATAATGTAAACATATAAAATATCACATTGTATCCCATAAATATATAATATGCAATTATTGTCAATTAAAAGTTAAAACAAAACCTCTAAAATTCAATGAAACAACTGAAAGAAAGAGACAGAAAGGAACCAAAGAACAAATAAAACAATGGACAAGCCTTTACCTAAACTAATTTTAAAAAGAGAGAAATCACAAATAAAATAATAAATGAAAGAGAAAACATTACAAGTCATGGTACAGGAATAAAAATGATCATAAGGGACTATTATGAACAACTTTAGCCAACAAATTGAATAACCCAGAAGAAATGGATAAATTCTTAGAAATATATAACATACTAAGGCTGAACCATGAAAAGATAGGAAACTTGAACAGACCAATAATGAATAAGAGATTGAAGCAGTAATCAACAACCTCAAAAGCAGTAATCAAAAAGAAAAACCTGGGACTTGACGGCTTCTCTGATGAATGCTACCGAACATTTAAACAAGAAGCAATATCAATCTTCCTTAAATTCTTCCCAAAATATTAAGAAAAAGAAACACCTTTCAGACTCATTTTATGAAGCCAGCATTATCATCATACCAAAGCCAAAAAGGGCACAACTGGAAAAGAAAATTATAGACCAATATCCTTGGTGAATATGGATGTAAAAATCCTCAACAAAATACAAGTAGAACAAATTCAACAGCACATTAAAAGGATCATCCTTGTCTATAATCCTCACTAGCTAGACACCTGGTGTCATCAACTAATGGCATGGGTTGCCTAGAGGGCAGAATCTTAGATTTTTCTTAGTTTTCCTATAATATTCTGAATCGATAAAATAAATTTGACAGTAGTGCTTACAAATTTTTCAAAATGCCTATGTAAAATTGAATTGTTTATAATGCCCATAAAATAAAAATACAAATAGGCTGGACATTGTTCTGTACTTCATGTTGTACTGCAAGAAACTGATCACCACATTTAAAACTTGGGAGAAGACAGCTACTATATCAATGATTAACCATAGAATAAAATTTTAGGCTGTGGTTTTTCAGTATACATGTACTATCACAAAACCTTATGTTGTGATTTATCTTTATTTAAAACTTTAGATGCTTCACATTTAAGGAAAATTGTGACTGCATGAGGTTTCTAACTGCACTATACTATGAGTATCAGGGTTTTTTTTTTCAATATACAGCCTATATATATTTTGATAAAAAATACTCTTTTTTTGAAATAAATTATGATAATAGAGATGTTTACCTTAATCTTGTTGTCTTTTTCCTTAATTTTCAAAATAAAGGGCTAGCAACCTATACTGACAACCTTCAAACTTTTCCTTCAAATGTTACTGATTCATATAGCAAAACCCTATCACACACTGATTTAACATACATAAATGTCAACAAAATATATCAGTATTATTCATGCCAATGTAGCCTTTACACAAGAGACACACCTAATTAAAATCATAACTACAACTCTAATAATTCATATTTTATTTTGTAATATAATTGGCAGTACATGAATATATTGACTATAAATAAAACATAGATCTGTCCTTGTTTATTGATTGGCTATCAGAGAAACTGTAAGGATGGGACTTTCACTTCCAGAAAGATGGAGTCGTTTCTCTATTTTTCTTGCAAAGTACAACTAAAAACACTGAACTACATTATAGTTATTTCTTTACTTTATCAATGTCGATATTCTGGTTGTGATAATGTACTAGAGTTTTTAAGATATTACCACTTGGGGAAAGTGAGCAAACAGGACATAGGATTTCTCTGTATTATTTCTTATGTAAGGACAAATACAAACCAAAAATTAAAAATAAGAGGGTTAGGCTAGAGGTAGTGGCTCACGCCTGTAATCCCAGCACTTTAAGAGGCCAGGGTGGGTGGATCACGAGGTCAGGAGTTCAAGACCAGCCTGGCCAACATGGCGAACCCCCAAAAAAAATAGCCGGGCATGGTGGCAGGCACCTGTAATCTCAGCTACTCGGGAGGCTGAGGCAGGAGAATTGCTTGAACCCAGGAGGCGGAGGTTGCAGTGAGCTGACATCGTGCCATTGCACTCCAGCCTGGGAGACAAGAGCAAGACTCTGTCTAAAAATAAATAAATAAGAGGCTTAATTCTCCCTGTTGATAATAAGAGAAAATATTTCCCTCCCTCCTTTTATTCAGAGCATTTACTTTGGAAAACATGTAATTACAAGTACATTCTCTCTCTGAAATGTATATAAATCCTTTTGAAAACTCTGGTCAGCTTTATAACCCAGGAATGCCTTTCTCAAGAACATAGGAGCCATCTTTATATAATGTAAACATCGAAATAACTTGCACCTCTGTCTCCCAGTTTCTGTGGGAAAGTAGGAGCCTAATTGTGGTAGAGACATTGTTCCAAGTTGCAAAACTACCTTTTGTCCTAAAGACAGGAAGTTTGTTTTTCCTCCATATAAAGCCAATTACCTAACATAGATGGTTATGATGCAGTTCCGTCGAGCCCCAAAATTGGGGCTTATCCTGGGAGGGTTCTTAGCTTCACCCAGAAAAGAATGCAAGGGCAAGCTGGTGGTGTTAAACAACAACTTTTATTAAAGTGTCAGTCTACAGCAACAGCAGAGTTACTGCTCTTTGCAAGCAGGGCTACACCATAGGCAATGTGCCAAAGTAGCAGCTCAAAGGTGCTTCTGCAGTCATATTTATACTCACTTTTAACTACATGCAAATTAAGGAGCAGTGTATGCAGAAATTTATAGGAAAAGAGTGGTAATTTCTAGGTCATTAGGTTGTTGTCATGGAAAGGGGCAATTAATTCCAGGTATTGTCACAGCAATGGTAAACTGACATGGCACATTGGTAGACATCTTATGAAAAGCTGCTTCCACACCAGCCCTGTTTTTGCTAGTCCTCAATTTGGTCTAGTGTCTAAGCCTCACCTCTGGAGTTGAGTCCCAACTTCCACCTCAGTTACACTATGAGCAAATGAGATTTTTTTTCCTGTGATACAAGGATGATTGAAAAAAAGCAAATCAATTAGTGCAATACACAATAAAACAGATTAAAAGATAAAATACCATGACCATCTCAATAGACACAGAAAAAGCACTGGACAAAATTCTACAACCTTTCTTGATGAAAATACTTAGTAAATACTTTACCTGAACATGTCAAAACCATATACGTAAAGCCTACGGCAACATCATACTCGTTGGTGAAAAACTGAAAGCTTTTCCTCTAAAATCAGGAAAAAGGCAAAGATGACAATTCTCACCACTTCTAATCGACATAGTATGAAAATCCTAGCCAGAGCAATTAGACATGAAAAAGAAATAAAAGGTATCCAAATCAAAACAGAGGAAGTAAAATTATCTTCATTTGCAAATGAACTTATAGGTTAAAAAAAAAAATCCCAAAGACTCCACAAAAACTGTTAGAAATAATAAACAAATTCATAAGTTGCAGATACGAAATCTATATACAAAAATCAGTTGTGCTTTTTATACACCAACAATGAACCATCAAAAAAGAAACTTAAGAGATAATTTCTTTCTAACAGAATCAGAAAGAATAAAATACTTGGTAATAAACTTAACTAAGAAGGTAAAAGACACTGAACACAAAGCATGAATGAAATAAATAAGAAAGACAAAAAAATGGAAAAACCTCCATGTTAATGGATTGGAAAATCAAAATAATCACACTACCCAAAGTGATCTTGATCTTTGATTGAATGCAATAATTATCAAAATCCTAATGACATTTTTTATAAAAATAGACAAAACAATCTTAAAATTCATATGGAACCACAAAAGATCCTGAATAGCTAAAGCAATCTTGAAAAAGAACAAAGCTCCAGGTATCACACTTCCTGATTTCAAAATATACTAAAAAGCTATAGTCATTAAAATACCATAGTACTGATAACAACAGCCACATGGATCATTAGAATAGAAGAGAAAGCTCATAAATAAATTCACACAGAGATGTTTAACTGATCTTCAACAAGGGTGTCAATGGGGAAGAGATCATTTCTTCAACAGATGGTGTAGAAAAAATTCAATATTCATATACAAATAAATGAAACTGGCCACTTATCCTACATCATACACAAAAGGCTACTCAAAATGAAGTAAAGACATACATGTAAGATGTGGAACTGTAAAACTCTTAGAAGAAAACATAGGGTAAAAGTTTCATGACATTGGTCTTGGGCCATGAATTCTTGATTATAACACCAAAAGCACAAGCAGCAAAAGCAAAATTAGGTGGGATTAACTCAAATTAAAAAGCTTTTCCATGGCAAAGGAAAGCAGAGTCAAAAGGCAACCTACAGAAGGAGAAAATATTTGTGTACCATCTGATGAGGGATTAACAACCAATATATACAAAGAAATCGGAAACTCAGCAGCAAAACAACCAAATAACTGAATTTAAAAATAGGCAAAAAAAAAACCTTGAATAAACATTTCTCCAAAGAAGATACACAAATGGTCAACAGGTATATGAAAAGATGCTCAACATCACTAATCATTGGAGAACTGTAAATTCACACTTCCCTGAGATATTGTCTCATGCCTGTTAGAATGGCTATTATCAAAAAAAAAAAAAAAAAAAAGGAAGAATTGTTTTTGAGGATGTGGAGAAATTAGAGCATTTGTGCCCTATTGGTGGAATTGTAAAATGGTGCAGCCACTATGGAGAACAGTATGAAATTTCCAAAAATTAAAAATATTTATCATGTGGTCCAGCAATCCCACTTTTGAGTATATATCAAAAAAAAAAAAACTCAACGATCTTGAAGAGATATCTACACTCCTATGTTCATTACAGCATTATTCACAATAGTCTACATACCATGGGACATGATTCAGCCTTTAAAAGGAAGGAAATCATGCCATTTGTAACAACATGGATGAATGTGGAAGATATTATGCTAAGCGAAATAAACCAGACACAGAAGGACAGATACTACATAATATCACTTATATGATGAATTTAAAATATTCAAATTCATAGAAGCAAAAAGTAGAAGAATGTCTGTCCGGGGTTGAAGGGAGGGAAAACTGGGAAGAATTAGTCAAAGGGTATTAAGTTTCAGTTACGAAAAATGAGTAAGTCCCAGAGATCTGCTGTACAGCATGGTGCCTATGGTTAACTATACAGCATTCCATACTTAAAAATTTGCTAAAAGTGTAGATATTATGTTAAGTGTTCTTATTACAAAAAATAATGTGGAAATATACAATGGAATATTATTCAGCTTTACAAAATAAGGTAATCCTGCTATATGCAGCAACATGAATAAACCTGGAGGACATTATATTAACTGAAATAAACAAGTCACAGAAGGACAAATACTGTATAATTCCACTTACATGAGGTATCTAAAATAGTCAAACTTAAAGAAACAGCACAGAATGGTGGGTGCCACTGGCTGGGCGGGGGAGAGAAAAACGGGAAATTGTTGTTCAATGGGTATAAAGTTTTAGTTATGCAAGATGAGTAAGTTCACTGCCAATAGTTAATAATACTGTACTGTACACTTAAAATTTTTTAAAGGTCATATATTAAGTGTTCTTATCACAATAAAAAATAAAGAAAAATCAAAGCAAAGCAAATCAGAACGAATATTAAAAACGACTTATTAAACTTTCAAACACAAAAACAAATTGAAACATTAAAAGAAAACATGACCTACACAGAACATCAATCTTGAATGACTAATACCAAGATACAGTCTAGTGAAAGTACTTAATATTATTTAAAAAAGAAAACTAATCCACTAGCCATTCATGCAGAATGAGTACATGGCTTAAAATAAAATTATATTTTCATCAAACTTTTTGTCAGAAATGCTTTATGACAGAATAAAAATGGAATAATATATTAAATATACACAAGGAAAGAAAATGTGATCAAAAGATTTTATGTTCTTCAAATATAAAGGACACAAATTGTTATCAACATGCAAGAACTAGGGAAATACTGTTCCTATGAACTTTTCTAAGGAATCTACTAAAGATTGATTTTTATAAAACCAAAATTACTAGAGAAATATTGACATATAGAGTAGTGGTGAGCATTACTTACAGAATTAAGACTAAATTATGGCTGAGAGAAAATAGAGCATGAATGGCAATATAATCTGCTAATGTTGGTATAGTATAACATTATTCCAACTAATACATGAAAATCTCCAATGATCTAGGCACTAAGCATCAAAGGGTACTAATATCACAAAAGAGTGAAAACAAGACATAATTTGCTTTCCAATGAAAGTTTTTACAACCACCAATAGATTTGTTAAAGAAACTAAATCTCTATTCAACCTTCAGATTCAATTTGCCAAATTGTAGAAATGCAAAGAACAGAAAAAATATAATGAAATGCACCATAAGCACATGTGGTCAACAAGATCCTGACTGTGTAACTGTAGGTCAAATTAGCTTGTTAGCATTATACATATTATTATATATATTATAATCATTATATATTTCTCTTATATAATCCTGAAGATTAGATGGTGGAAACATATGAGTTTAATTCCCTGATTCTGGTTATTATGATTATGGAGAAGCATGTCTTTTATGTAAATAAAGCATTCAGATGTTGTGGGGCATCTTGTCAGCAACTTGTTTTCAAACAGTTTAAAGGGAAAAAATCCTTTATACTATATTTGCACCTTTTCTGTACGCCCGACATAGCTTCAAATTTTAAAAAATAACTTTGAATCTGGAAGGTAACAGAAGCATAACATAACAAACTTGGATATAATTAAAGCCTCTCAAAGGAGAATTTTTAGCCTAAAATGCATATATTAGAAAAATGACTGACAATACCTGTTAAGCTGTCATTCTCAAGAACTTAGAAGAGAAAGGCTGGGTGCAATGGCTCACGCCTGTAATCCCAGCACTTTGGGAGGCCGAGGCAGGTGGTTCACTTGAGGTCAGGAGTTCAAGACCAGCCTGACTAACATGGCAAAACCCTGGCTCTACTAAAAATACAAAAATGAGTCAGGCCTGGTGGCACACACCTGAAGTCCCAGCTTCTTGGGAGGCTGACCAATGAGAATCACTTGAACCCAGGAGATGGAGGCTGCAGTGAGCCAAGGTCATGCAACTGCACTCAAGCCTGGATGAGAGAATGAGACTGTGACTCAAAAAAGAAATAAAAGATCAAATTAAACCCAAAAATGAGAAAAAAAAATTAGTTGCAGTAACCAATGACAGTTTTTTAATTAGAGATAACCATCAAAGGCAGAAATTGATTATTGAAAAGACTAATAACTGATAAACCTTTGCCAAGAAGAACCAAAAAAAGAAACACAAATTATCAATATACGAAGGTAAAAAAGGGACATCATGATAGATCCTACAGAAAGTACACATGGCATACGTGCGTATTACAAGCAGTGTTATGCCAATAAATTGAAAATTTAGGTTAAATGGACAAATTCCTGAAAAATCATGGCACACAAAACTAACAGAAGAAATTGAAATTGTAAGTAGACATGTATGTAACGAAGATACTGAATCTGATATTAAAACCTCCTATAATGAAATGTCCAGACTCAGAATGCTTTAACAGCAAACTTTGTCAGACATTTAACTAAAATATAACACCAATTTTACTCATATTCCTTCAAAGAGAAAACGGAAATGCTTTCAAACAGAAGTAATGAGGCTTGCGTAATCTTAACAACAAAAGCTACAAGTTTATGACAAAGAAGTAAATTTATAGATCAATATAATTCATAACAGGCAAAATTCTAACAAATAGTAGCAAAGCCTAGTAAGCAATATATTTAAAAGACAATACATTATTATTCAGCTGGAAACATTATGGAAATACGTGTTTTAGCACTGAAAATCAAGCATGTATTTCACCTTCATGACAAAATAAAAATCATATAATTATCTGAATAAATGCAAACACATGGAAATTTTACCCATGGGATCAAGAACAAGAACGCCTCCTGTCGGCCGGGTGCGGTGGCTCACGCCTGTGGTCCCAGCACTTTGGGAGGCCGAGGCGGGCGGATCACAAGGTCGGAGATCGAGACCATCCTGGCTAACACGGTGAAACCCCGTCTCTACTAAAAAATACAAAAAAAATTAGCCTGGCATGGTGGCGGGCGCCTGTAGTCCCAGCTACTCAGGAGGCTGAGGCAGGAGAATGGTGTGAATCCGGGCGATGGAGCTTGCAGTGAGCCGAGATTGCTCCACTGCACTCCAGCCTGGACGACAGAGCGAGACTTCATCTCTCACAAAAAAAAAAAAAAAAGAAAAAAGAATGCCTCCTGTCACCGCTTTTATTCAACACTATACAGGAGGCCCCTGTCAGTACAGTAAGGATAAATGTATGTATAAATTGACAGACAGATTCTAAAATTTCTGTTGAGCTGTGTAATGCTAAGAATATCCTAGAAATAGGGTTCAAGAACTATAGCCCATAGGCCAAATCTGGCCTGCTGCTGGTTTTTGTAAGTTAAGTTTCACTGAAGCATAGTCCCATCATCATCCATTTATTTACTATCGATGGCTGCTTTCATGCTACAGTAGCTAGAGAGACTATAAGGCCCACCTAGCCTAAAATCTTTGCCCTGGCTCCTATTTACGTTTGACCCTTTACAGAAAAAAGTTTGCCAGCCCCTGCCCTAGAAAATCCTAAAGAAGAAGAAAAAAAAAACTACAAAGCTCATGCCATCAGCACTAGTTATTAAAACAGTATGGTATTACACAATAGAATCCTCAACAAAGTCCTCACATTTACAGTTATTTATGATAAAGGTGATGTAATTGTGCAGCGGAGAAAGGCGATCCCATCAACAAATGTTCCTGAGTCAATTCAACACTACAGTGGCATCAAAGTAAATTTCATCTCAAACCATATACAAAAATTAATCCCAGAGGAACTGTAGGTCTAAACATGAAAGGTAACACAATAAAACTTCTAAAAGATAACACTAGGAAATATCATCATGGCCTTCAGAGAAGAAGATTTTCTTAAAGAGAACAAAAGCACAGATCATAAAGGATATGTTATGATTATAAAGGATCATATCGCTATCTAAGATTAAATTAAAATTATGAACTTTTGTTCATCAAAATACACTATTCAAAGAGTAGAATGCCACACTATATAAAGGAAAAAGATATTTGCAAGATACGCAAGCAACAAGGAATTCCTGTCCTGAAGATATAACTCCTAAAAATTAGTAAGAAAATAGACAACACTTCTTAAAAGAGAATAGCCAAATGGTCATTAAGCCTACCTAAGGGTTCTGAACCATAGTAATCATCGGCAAATCAAAAAACAAAGTAGGATATCTTTACCCACTAACAAGAATGGAAATATTTTTTAAACTGGCCATAAAAAGCATTGGCAAAGATGTATGGCAATACAAGTGGCAGATGGAAAGTTATGGAAAACCATTTGGCAGTATCTACTGAAGAAGAAAATATGCATTCCCCCTATGGCTCAGATATTTCACTCCTACATGTATTAGGAATATGTGAATGTAAGACCCAAAAGATATGTACAAGATTGTTCTAGACAGATATTAATATTCAGTAACTGGGAACAAGCCAAAAATCTGTCCAAAGTAGAATGGATAAGTAAATTGGGGTATATTCATAAAATAGAGAACCATGCAGCAACAGGCATGAACAACCTATTGCCGCAGGCATGGATAGAGCTCACTGAAAGAAACAACACAATTAAGTATAAACTATATGATTCTATGTATATAAAAGGCTTAAAAATGGGCAAAACTATTCTATAGTGTTAGAAATCAGAATGGTAGTTCAATTTAGGAGGAGGGAGGGAGCACAATCAAAATTCCTGGATTTCTAGTAATGTTCCCTTTCTTCATCTAGATGATGGTTACCTGGGTGTGTTTACTTCTAATTCATTGTGCTGTATAATTTGTGCCCTTCATTTGGATGTGTTTTATTTTGATAAAAAGGTATATTAAAAATGGGACAGAAAAAATAATTTAAGAGATCAAAATATTCTGGATTTGCTTTTCAGCTAACAACCAGCAAAGTTCTGTCTAAAGTGTATACTTGTTCAATTGAACACATGATATGCACAGAGCTAATAGACTTCAACTAAGCTTTATAAACTACAGGTAACTTATATTAACCCACAGTTTCTGCCTCTCTATATCCAGTAATGTTTGTAAATACTATTTTACGTCCTTTTCTGAACAGAAAGATTCCAATGCCAGTCTGCAGATCTCTTTCCAAAACTGGTATTGCTGACATTGGAAATCCAAGTGGATCAATACAGTATTTGTCTGAGTAACATACAACATACTTTTGTTGAAATATTAATGGCCACGCATTTCATAAAATATATTGGCTTTACTAAGTTCTTTCAACCACATGTCACACAACTGTTTTTACAAGAACACAGCAAATGTCTTCTGTTACAATCCCCTCAATCAATCACAGGAAGTCTTTATACATATTGTGAGACTCCTTCCAATATCTACTAAAGAAATATAGTTGCTGTAGATTGAATGCACAGCAGAATAATGCAATTCAAATCTTTTCTAAAAGACAGAAAACAAAACAAAATAAAAATATTCAGTTGTTCTGCAACATGCATTCAATAGTGAAGAAAGTATCAGTAGCCATGCAGAATGCTTAATCAATTAGCAACAGTTATGGCCTAAAAATTTTAAAAGCTTCCTCTCTCCTGTATCATTAGCTTTGTATGTTTCATCATAGTATTTCTCTAAGACAAAAATGAAATAATGTAATGAGTATCCCTAAGCCTTAAGAGATATATAACATGTTTTCAATTGATGCTATAATTCAAATTCCAAAACATGTAGTTAAGCTTAGAATAAAGGGCAGCAGAACAAGTCTTAGGCTCCCATAACTAGTTATCATGACACATACATGTTCTCACATTTAATATAAAAATGTGGCCTACATAGCAAATTATCTATAGGGATTCTTCCACCACATAAATTCTGAAACCATGACGTTAAACTGTATGTGCCTGTGTTGAGAGGCTAAATTCGGGTGTCCCTAAATTTGGGTGTTCAATCAAATATTAATTGAACATTTTTTTTTAAACAAAGTATCGCTCTGTCACCCAGGCTGGAGTGCAATGGCGGGATCTCAGCTCACTGCAACCTCCGACTACTAGGTTCAAGCGATTCTCCTGCCTCAACCTCCTGAGTAGCTAGAATTACAGGTGCCCACCACCACACTCTGCTAATTTTTGTATTTTTAGTAGAGATAGGGTTTCACCATGTTGGCCAGGCTGGTCTCTAACTCCTGACCTCAGGTGACCTGCCCACCTCACCCTCCCAAAGTGCTGGGATTACAGGCCTGAGCCACTGCACCTGGCCCTGAACACCTTTTAAGAACAAAGAAAGCCATATTCTAAATGCTGTGCACGAGGTTTCACCTTTGGAAGCACAAAGCTAAACAGTGAAGCTAAGACATGTAAGAGAGTAAGTTTACAAAAAAGTCCTTGATGTTTGTTGAATAGTATAGTGTGTGTGTGTGTGTGTGTGTGTGTGTGTGTGTGAGAGAGAGAGAGAGAGAGAGAGAGAGAGACAGAGAGAGAGAGAGAGATACCAAAACAAGTATTATTCAGTATGGAGATGAATAAATGTTAAAATAGCTCAGTGTCAATGGAATGGAGCAGAGTGGAGACAATGTCAAACTGTAGTAATCGGCATTTGAAAGCAGACTTGTTTGCCTCTATGCTATAATCACTGTAGTTCATAAACAACTTCCACTTGCCTTCTTTTATCACATACTAACTTAGGGAACCTGGAACAAATTCTATAATTTTAAATGTTTAAAAGTAATTCACAAAATGAATTGTCTATGGATAACTAAAATCTAACTTCAAGAAATTAGTTGGAACATTCTCCCAACTCTGAGTAAAGTGGCCATTCTTAGAGATGTTACTTTGTTATTTCCATTTGCCACTAGGAGGTTTCCACATTTTCATAATTCATGGTGCTTAAACATCATTTCTAGCTCTGAAATTACTACACACTAAAAATAATTTTAGTTTTACAACATCCGTTACTTCAAGAGTTTTTCATAATTCACTCATTAGATAGAATTTATCAACAATATAGTGGTAATTATAATCATGTTAGAGATAATTTTTAAACCACAAATTTTGACTACAGATTAATTTTAAATAATTTTATATTTATTTGGAGCATTTGTTTCAATACATTTTTAAGCTTTATTTTTTCACTTATTCCCCTTATTATCTAAAAGTGATTCATCTCAGAACATAAATTCATATGGCTTGTTATATACATGCTTTTCCAAAATATACCTGAATTTAAATACAAACATAACCACTATATTATTGAGATAATGCTGATACCTCCATCAATAAATTGATTTTACAGATATACCAAAATTGCTGAGAAAATTCTCCAATTATATTGCATGCTCCCTGAGGTAGAAACACTATTTATTTTTAAATTTTATTCACTACTACATAATTGGCACCCAATAATATTGGTCAAATTGATAAATAAAGGATACATTTAAAAACTATTAATAAAGTATCTAAATTTTCCCATTCTGATTTCAAATAATCCTAACAGTAATTATTACAGTAGCTTTGCTACTTTTCATACTTATAAAATAGTGTTCAATACTTAAAAGATACTTGGTAGAATTAATAAAATGACTAGGAAACTCTTTGAACTCCATAGCATCATAAGAATTCACAAACTTGTAAGAAAATAGAGATAATGAAGTTCAACTTCTTTCCTGATGAATCAATGCAGCCTCTTATTCAATACTTCCAGTAACAGTAAATGCGCTATACTTTCAGGATACAGCTCTGAAAAACCTACTACTGTGGGATACTTTAAGTGTTACAAAGGTTTTCTTCACAGTAGACTAAATATTATCTATTTGTCTCTCCAAACTTTGCTTAAAATTTTTTGTTTTCTCTTGAACATCAAGTATACCCCCATTTCCAAATGAAAATATTTTAAGAGTCTGAAGAAAGTACTGTGAATTGTTCAGTCTTTGCATTTTTTCAGATTAAATATTATTTTATTCGTATGGTATAGTTTCTATCCCTTTCTTCAAAATGGCAGCCCTCTTCAAATACAGCCTTGGCTTTCCAATGGTTTGAAATGTAGATAAAAAAGCAATTTTCCACTGGAGCAAAATGCAATAGTATTCAGTTGAATCACATGAAACTGCCAAGATTCAACCATTTCTGACCTATAAAATATGACAATTTCATATGGTTCAACATAATAGCATTATCTTCCTTGATGTAAACACTGCACATCCATCAATGGATCCTCAGATTGCACTAGCTTTTTAGCAGCTAGGTAACACCACAGCTTCATATTAGGTTTGAGGCCAAGTAAATCCCATAAGTCATTTTCCCATCAACTGCTGGGCTTGTGCAAAGAATTTTACAGAATTTTATAATGCAGGAATTTACCTACCTGCCACTTCCTAGTTTTGTTATCCTTTTACAAGTTGTTTAATGTCTTAGAATTATAATGTATCCTTAATTGTATAGTACTTCTTATGTGCCAGATACTGTTACAAGTGATTCATATTTAATCCTCATAACAGCTATATTAGCTAGAATCATTATCATTATTTCTCATGTTACAAATGAGGAAACAGAGTCACTGAAAGATCAAGTGCATGCCCTCAACCACAACATTATGCTGGCTCTCAAAATAAACTCTTTCTCAAATGGTTTTGTGGGGCTTAGTAACACACACAGTGTCATTCATTTTTTGATCCCTTTTCATTATCCAGCAAGTTCAATTAGTTGCTAAATGTTCCAAAATGCTTGTCTCTTGCATTTCGCACTTCCTTTCTATTCTTCCAGACCATTCTCTCTTTAATACTTTTCACTCTTCTGAAACTATGTTGAAAATGCCTCTTAATTTGTATTTCCCCATCTTCAGCCATCTTCAGCTCCCACCTACTCTATATAACTCTGGGTCCTATCTCATCATTTTCTCCATTTTCATTTTGTTTTCAAACCCTTTTTGATCATTATTCCTTCTTACCAATACTTTTAACTCCTTCAAAAATAAAAAATAAGCAAAATACTCTGTTTTTTCTATTTTAATATTATGCCATTTCTCATAAACTGTAGGCTTCCTCTTTCTACTTGTCTTTCTTTCCAAGCCAAGCATAAGAAAATATTAATAAAGCCCCAAAAATTGATTGGTAAAGTTTCTTTCCATTTATAAACGAAGAGCATAAAGGTTGGTATCAGACAAGAATTCTGCACAGCAAGATGGCCTAATAGCAAGGGCTGTGTAGCCAGATGGCCTGGTGATCATTAAAAAGTCAGGAAACAACAGATGCTAGAGAGGATGTGGAGAAAATAGGAATGCTTTTACACTGTTGGTGGGAGTATAAATTAGTTAAACCATTGTGGAAGACAGTGTGGTGATTCCTCAAGGATCTAGAACTAGAAATACCATTTGACCCAGCAATCCCATTACTGGATATATACCCAAAGGATTATAACTCAATCATTCTACTATAAAGACACATGCACATGTGTGTTTACTGCGGCACTGTTCACAATAGCAAAGACTTGGAACCAACCCAAATGCCCATCAGTGATAGACTGGATAAAGAAAATGTGGCACATACACACCATGGAATGCTATGCAGCCATAAAAAAGGATGAGTTCATGTCCTTTGCAGGGACATGGATGAAGTTGGAAACCATCATTCTCAGCAAACTAACACAGGAACAGAAAACTAAACACCACATGGTCTCCCTCATAAGTGGGAGTTAAACAATGAGAACACATGGACACAGGGAGGGGAACATCACACACCGGGGCCTGTCGGCGGGTGGGGGGCTAGGGGAGAAATAGCATTAGGAGAAATACCTAATGTAGATGACGGGTTGACAGGTGCAGCAAACCACTATGGCACTTGTATACCTATGTAACAAACCTGCACATTCTGCACATGTACCCCTTAACTTAAAGTATAATAAAAATAAATAAATAAATAAATAAAAATAAAAATAAAAATTTAAATAATTTAAAAGTTAAAAAAAAGAAATTCCCACTTTGTCATTTACAACTGGGTAACTTTGGTCTAGTCATTTAACCTTTCTGTGTTTCATTTTTCTCATGAAACATAAGGATTATAATATAACCTACCTCTTAAAGTTGCTGTGAAAACTAAATTAGTCAATATTTGTGAAGGGTTTGGAACATTAGTTAGCCATCTTTATTATAAAAATTGTAAATTAAATAAGAAATTTATCATTCATTGCTTAGGCAATAGGAAAGCATGAGAAATTTTTTAAGGAAGGGAGATTTTGAGCTGAGGCTGCCCTTAAACTAACTGGCCAATACTACTTGGTCAGCACCCACTTAAGAATTAACTCCCAGAACCCTGGTTTAGGTCCAAAATTTTTTGTTGTTGTCCTTCTTCAAACTCCCTTTATCCAATAAAGTTTCCAGTTGCCTCATTATTAGTCATTTGCACTGGCCCAGATGCCTGGTACTATAACTTAGGTATCCTTATCCTGGTTACTTTTTGGTGCCTGAAGCAAAGCCATTTTGTGGACACCCTGGTCAATGCTCAGTCCCATCTAGCCTGGCATCTATGGTCAGTAAGCCGTTCCACTGTATTGTTTCAGGCCTTTGAGAAAGGGAACTCTGGAGAGAATGACAAGACAGCATGTCTTTCAGGAAGATAATCAAAGGGATGATTAGACAGATGAACATGGAAAAAGGGGGCATATACTAAGGTAGGAGAATTGTTGCAACAGGGAGGACAAAAGAGAAAATGGGTCTGAATAAAAAGGCTGGCTTATCCAAGCATGGATTTTTCTTTTTTATGAAAGAGAATTCATAGCACTGGATGACATTAAGTTATGAAGATACGGGAGAGAAACTCAGGATGACTACAAAAATTGCAGTTTCATATTTTGGCTGGTAGTTTTAGCTATATTTGAAGCAAAGAAGAAGCAGACATAGCATAAAGATGATGAGTTTATATTTGATATACAGAGTTTGAGGTAGATATTGAACTAAATAGAAATGAGCTGGGCGTGGTGGCTCACACCTGTAATCCCAGCACTTTGGGAGGCCAAGGCAGGTGGATCACCTGAGGTTGGGAGTTTGAGACTAGCCTGACCAACATGGAGAAACCCCGTCTCTACCAAAAATACAAAATTAGCCGGGCATGGTGGCGCATGCCTGTAATCTCAGCTACTCGGGAGGCTGAGGCAGGAGAATCGCTTGAACCTGGAAGGCAGAGGTTGCAGTGAGCCAAGATTGTGCCATAGCACTCCAGCCTGAGCAATAAGAGTGAAACTCTGTCTCAAACAAAAAAAAAATGTGCAGAAGCAGTTAGATACGATAAACATGTTCAGCAGACTACTGACCACCAGCTCATTATCAGTAGAAACAAGCTTTGAATTATTTTCCCCAGGTTTTAAGAATAAATTAAATGATTTATTCTTGCCCTCTACTCAAAATTGAGACACAGTGGTAAAATGACTGGCAAATGCACTCTGTGGCACAAATAGCACTAACCTCACTAGGGAAATCTAGCCAGAAACTGTAACCTCATTAAAACAATGCACTAACTTCCTGAGATAACTGGCAACTATAGGCAGATGGAAATGCCTTTTATTTAATATGCCCTCCACCTTCCAATGATCATCCGCCCATTTGAATGTGGAGACACTCTAGAAAATAAATTAACAATTCAGTCTCTTCACTTTTGCTTCATTAAACAACATACATTTGTATTAAGAAGCTGAATTTCTACTTTATTTTTAAATATGTTGCAAAAAGTAGGCAATATTTGGTATTAAGCAACACAACTGAAATCTTTTCAAGTGGCATTTTATAAGTATCAGCAATTGATCTCTAAAAATAAGACTTAACCCACAAACTTAAATTTTGTAAGAAATCATGTCAAATAGATTGCAACACATTAAATTTATGTCTGGATAAAGGAAGTACAAGTTTCAGGACTAGAATATCTCACAAGAAGGTCATAAATCAGCTAAACATTCACTGTTATTAAAAACAAAACACAAAGGTAACTTTCCTAAGATAAAAACAATTCAATCTTTGGGTTCAAAAGGACTTACAATGGAAAATAGAAAGTATCATCTTGATCAAGTTATAACTTACTGTATCTTCAAGCCCAGTGATTTTTTTAAAAAAGTTTTAAACTTACCTCTCTCCATTCTTTATTTCCAACTCCTTGTACATATAAGACACAAACTACAAAAGATGAAAAAATACGCACATATAAATGTCTTTTATGAAAATCATATGTGAATGTATACAATTTATTTTTCAGCTGTTCAAAAGCTACATCAAAATTAAATGCCTAATTCCTAGACTTACCCTTGCAAAAAAAAAAGGCTAGTAAATCATCATATGACTAAAAATTGATTTAAATAAGCAGAAAACAAACTGTTATGCCAGATCTTTAGAACTTAGTATGAATTGAGCTTGGCACATAAAATAATAAGTACTTGCTAAGGTCTTCATATATAAATTTTAAAACCATAATTTAAACAATTTGAAATATTTCATTATGTTGTGAAAAACAAGCCAAGCTCTCCCTAAGATATTTACAGTGCTCAAAGGTATAATAGGAACGAAAACTTGGGGCAAGTCATGCTCTACATTTAATATTTATAACTTCCACCCTTAATATTTATAAATAGGTAAGAAATCCTGTCAACCAAGAAAGGAATTCCCAAAAGGGAGATTAAGAGTTTTGGGTAAAGATTAAGGGAAAGGAAGTGTCCCACCCACTTGTCAAATGAGCCCCAGGAATTTTTAATACCCACAATTGCAATGCCTTTTTCCCAATGACTACCTCAAGAATTCTGACAACTGACAAAAACCTTCCCTCTGTAATTCAACCATATTTGTTCACACATTTGTAGAGATAGAGAACTGTTGTATATCCATTTCTAAATATTACAAGATTCGGAAACACATTGATTTATACAGTTCATTCTGCTGTTTTCTAATTCAAACTACCCTTCTCACTTTACAAGTTATCTCCAATTTTCAATACCTCTAATTAGTAATCAAACACTTTGGTTCATATCAGATGTTACATATTTCACTTGGTTGTAAATTGTATATACCACTTTTATTTTATTTTTCTTTTCTTTCTTTTTTTTTTAAGAGACGGGGTTGGGTGGGTCTCACTATGTAGCCCAGGCTGGTCTTGAACTCCTGGGCTCAGGCAATAGTCCTGCTTCGGCCTCCCAAAGTGCTGGGATTATAGGCATGAACCACCTTGCCCGACCACCACTTTCATTTAAAAAAAAAAGAAAAAAAAGAAACGTATTACTCTGTGACTAAATAACTTTAAATTATGGCCCATTACAGTTTTCTTTCAAATATAATAATTTCTACCAAATGGCCATAGTACGAGGTTTTAATTTCAAAGTGAACTGTCCCACATTGGAGTCATTTGCATTCTCATTTTATTCTCAAAGTGCTCAGCAAGTCCCTCTTTACCCACAGTACTGCCCGGGGTTGATGAGTATGTAGGGCTTGGGACCATTCTCCTGTTGCTTTCTAGGCTTTAAAACAAACCTTTAAACAAGAACTATGAGTTTCCTACAACTTTTGCAAAATCAAATGATTTTTCAAAAGGCAAGCAATACATACTTACTTGGATCAGATTTAGAAAATGTGTCTCTGTCAAGAAGATTTCTGTTGAATAAAACAGAAAATGTTAGCTGGATATAAAAGCAAAATATTTATATTTATATAGACATATTAAAATGTGTATGTACATAATTGTGTATATATATATAAACATACTCATACACACACATATACATATATATGACTAAATAAACATGTCCCAAGGGTCTGCTTGTATATATTCAGACTGAACATCACTGGACTCCAAAAATAAGAGAAAGCTTTTATTTTCTCAGACTTTCATTCCACTTAACCAATAACATGACTCCTTACATCCTAAGATTAAAATCTCTTTGAGAGAATTAACTGTTTTAGGTTTCCATTTAATCCTTCATTAAGAATATAAAGGTGTTCAGAAATGCTTCCTGAATTGAATTGTGAGTTGTTATTAATGCAAAATTGTTTGCAGTTCAGAGCACATGATCACGTTAGTCCATATAATTAGAATACAGTTGTGAAGCAGCATCTACTGACATTTGTGTTACATCAACCCTGATGAGTTTTATGTTGCTATTACGGTTTCGGAATTTAAGATGAACATAGAGATGTTGCCTGAAGACTCTTTTCAGTAAACATTAAAAAAGTACACAAGGCCATTATTAGTACTTTTTTTTCCAGATATTTCTAAAATAGAATAACAATGGAAAATCAGAAAGTAGGAAAGCCTGGATTCCTCTGATACTAGTGTATTGCTACCCTCAGTGGTAGTAATGCAGTCCTATACTTTATGCTCATAACAATAACCCTGAGTACTCATTAAAAAGTTAAATTCAATATGCTCTGATTCACAAGGCAGGAAATTATTAGAAAAATTTCCACCTAAAATTAGTTTTTATAAAATTATGATTTAAAGCTATATGCTTTTCTGAAAAATTTGATTATCTAGAATGATGACTTGAGGGTTCTAAAAGTTCAAATTTGTGTTTAATAATCATCTTCCATTAATTAAAATGGAGTAGCTAAATTACATTTCAATTTGTAATACTTATAATAAAAATCTCGTGTTCAAGCTGTCTTATTTTCCACTAGGACTACTATTCATGTGCATTTATTTGTACTGCCCTTGGTATCTGAAAAGTCCCTTTTTCATATAAATCTGGCATCCTTTCTTATTTCAGGTTCTCAAAAGTGATTGCCGCCATTGAATCACTATACACTGAAAAAACAAAAACATATTCAACAAACCAATGCAGCACAAACAATGAAATGAGATCATGTCTTGAAATATTCCTAGAAAGGAGAAACATCAGACATACTCATATTTGGAATTAAATCAGATTAGAAGACCACTAGTCAGTAATCACATTAAATTAATCCTTTCTGTCCCCTGAGCAGACACCATGACTCCAGCAACGGTTAGCAAACAGTAAACTAAAACATTTCCATTTGAGAAATTACTGTGACATTATATTTATTATACAAAGGTAGTTCTTCACTTAAGTGGGAATTCTCCCAATCCTTCCTGTGACTCAAGCTTTTGCTCATTAGGTATCCTAGGAAAATATTATGCTGTTTCTTTCAGAATTCACAAAAAAACAGAGATGACAGTGCAAAATATTGTGATGTGGCTGTGACTCAAAAACTATGCTATGTACGTATTTAACAGAAAATCATGTAGTTTCAATGCCTTACTTATGTAAAAAAAAATAAACTACAAGTTTTAACCACAAATACAAAATAAAGGATTTCTATAAACAATAGGACAGATGAGTATTCTTTTTTTTTGAGACGAACTTTCACTCGTTACCCAGGCTGGAGTGCAATGGTGCGATCTCTGTTCATTGCAACCTCCGCCTTCCAGGTTCAAGTGATTCTCCTGCCTCAGCCTCCCGAGAGTAGCTGGGATTACAGGCATGTGCCATCACGCCCAGCTAATTTTGTATTTTTAGTAGAGACAGGGTTTCTCCATGTTGGTCAGGCTGGTCTCAAACTCCCGACCTCAGGTGATCCACCCACCTCTGCCTCCCAAAGTGCTGGGATTACAGGCATGAGCCACTGCACCCCGCTGAGATTAGTATTCTTAATCATAAACTTTACTTGTCACATTGTTTCACTCAGCCATTGTGATCCATAACACATAATGGTAAGATCAAAAATAAAACAAGCCAACAAAAAACCCTTTGTATAATGACAAGTAAAAATCTATAAATCTTCATAACATAGTCTGAAATTTGCAATTTAACTTTCCAATTATATTTGGTAATAATTTTACCTGTACTTTGGTCATATGAATATAATAGAATAGATTATCTCTGACAGGTTGAATTCCCAAAAGACTACTTTACTCAAGCATATATGATCGCAAAGTTGGAAAAGGAAAATATTCTTAGTGATGTATACACTGCAAAAGACCAGTGATTGTTAAAATGCACCATTCAGTTTAGATTTATTTTAGGAATAAGAATTTTATCTTCCCAATATCCTATTAGAAGCAAAGCCCATTCACATTAAGTAAAATAAGATAGGTATTATTGTGAAGGCCATTTCATAAATTCAGAAACTAAGCTGGGGCTCAGAGAAAGTGAGTGAATGAGTCAATGTACACAGCCCAGTACAGAATAATCTAATGGTACCAATCATTCTGAATCTGATTCTTCTGTTCTTTACAAAATACCTCAGTTTCTGGAGAAATCCAGAAGACTTCTTATTTTCTATGAGTATTGAAAATGTCAAAGGCCTCCAATTTTACCTACCACATGAATATAAAGGAAAATAAATTCCTGTTCATAGACTAGTATAAAGAGAGATGCTGCTTATAGAATGAGGACAGAAAACCAGAATGAGAGGCCAAACCCACTATATTTTTCATAGAAAAAAATCTTTGTTTTTTATATATTGCACTTTTAAAAATAAACATACACACACCCCTCCATGACCAGATTTTATATGAGAAGGCTACTCTTCCCTCCATGGACTTGTCATCTGCTTGAGCTAGGATGCCTGTAACTTTGTTCCTACCATTTTATAACATGATGTTGAACATCAACACTAGGTTAAAAGTCCTGAACATGTCTTTCTATTCTGCAAATCTAGATGTAGCTAATACAAAAGAACAAATTCTTCAATAGAAATTTTGGAAAAATACAGTGTACAAGTTAGAAAAATTATCTGATGAAATATCTAATCAAAATTATAACCTATAAATTGCCTGAGTTGTTCTAGTATCCACTCATCCTCAAATTCCATTAAAATTCCTAGACTATGAGCTTAAAGGGGGATAACTGAAATAGCATAACTAAAGCCGAGGCCCAGCCAATTTAATTCTAACCTGTAGGAAGAAATACTATCAGAAGTCTTCAAACCACAGCAACTCCATCTTGAATAGGGGCTAGGTAAAATAAGGCTGAGACCTGCTAGGCTGCATTCCCAGGAGGTTAAGGCATCCTTAGTCACAGTATAAGGAGACTGGCACAAGATGCAGGTCATAAAGACCCTTCTGATAAAACAGGTTGCAGTAAAGAAGCTGGCCAAAACTCACCAAAACCAAGATGGTGATGAGAGTGACCTCTGGTCTTCCTCACTGCTACACTCCCACCCGGGCCATGACAGTTTACAAATGCCATGGCAACATCAGGAAGTACCCTATATGTTCTAAAAAGGGAAGGCATGAATAATCCACCCCGTGGATATAATCAAGAAATAACCATAAAAATGGGCAACCAGCAGCCCTCGGCACTCCTCTGCCCATGGAGTAGCTGTTCTTTTGTTCCTTTTCTTTCTTAATAAACTTGCTTTCACTTTATTGACTCACCTCGAAATCTTTCTTGGGCAACATCCAAGAACCCTTTCTTGGGGTCTGGATCGGGACACCTTTCTAGTAACATCACTGGGTTAACTGGAGAGGTGTATTTTGCGTGAAATGTAAATTAAAAAGTAGATAAGCAGGAATTTAGCAACACCTTTCCAAAACCATCCAAGATAAAGAATTCCCTGACTCCTGTGCCTTCCTACTCAATTCTCATGCATATTCATCCTTGAGAACAGCCTGCCTTCTCCTAAACACAACAGTCAGTTAGCTCATCTGATAACCCAGCCTGCTCTGATTTTATGCTCAACAAGTCATCTTCCAAATTTAAGACAGTTTCCCATATAGTAGTTACTGAGTAGCCAATATGAATATCACAGTTGTCTTTACTGTTGTAGTTTTTATTGTCAGTCGGCATTCTGAGACCCACACTGAACAGCCAGCTAGCCTCTTAAAATTGTATCTCATGCTTGTCTTTCTCAAACTGGAAAGTAGCAATTCTCTTTCAACTTCAAAGCAAATCTGCAAGTATTTTTCAAGCAAATAATCTATGGCCAAGACCTAACTAAGCACTATCAAAAATAATACAATCTGCATTAAAGGTTTATTTCAAGAAGGCTGAATTTTATTTACAGAAATAACTAAACAGCAATATAGGATGGTGTATAAAATCACAGTTTATTATAGGGAGAAAGAACAGTAATCTAAAAACTGTCAAATTGATTCAGCTACGACAACAACAACAACAAAAGCCAGGTACAGTAATTAGTTCTTATTCCAACTATTTTTCAAATAATCGATAATCATATATATAATTTAAGTGATCTAAATAAATATATGTCCTGAAATAAGTACCTTATTGAGAGAGTCAGGTGGGAGGGGGTCCCTGGCAAAACTCCAACCAGCCTGTGCACTGGGAATGCACACTGTGGTGGAGCCATAGTTTGCCCCATTTGCAGCGGGGAGGAGCCTGGCCACTCCTCTTCCTGCGTAGAACCTGAGATTCAAATTGCCAGATAGGAAGCAGCCCAGTAGGGACCCTGGCTTTACAGAGAGTCTCTGTTTCCCCTTTTTTTTTTCCTTTTTGCCAACTACATCCCATTTTTCTCCCTCCTCGAATTGTCTGTGAGCCTAAATTTTCATGGCCATGGGACAAGGACCCTGTCTTTAGCCAAACTAAGGAAAAAATCCTGCAATATTATTTTTAAAAAGCTAAGTATTTTGTCTATTATATTTATATGTATTAAGGATTTAATAGTAGAAAATAAAAACTTTGAATTCTTCATATGTATAATGAGCAAAACATGATGTATTTAAAGTAAAAAGTGACTTGTGAGTTAATCCTAAAGTTGCAGGCATGCTACTCACTCTTTCCTGCTCAGCAGATAAAATCACCTAATAAATATTCTTGTTAAAAAATCCTTTAAAAGGGAAACAAATATCATTATCCTTCCACAGATGAAATTTGAAAAAGACGACCTGTGTGTGAATTTTAAAGTTAATAGTTTCAGAGTAAAGGCAATTTTGCTATTTGTGATCTTTTTAAAGTTCTAATTTAATTAAAAAATTAGAAATTTTTAAAGTTCTAATTCAATAAAAAAAAACATACAAGATACTTGTTTTAGGGGTTAAGTCCTCAACTTGGAGACATAAAATTAATTCCAAAAAGCACTGTGACCAGAAGTGAAACAACACATTAAAAAATCTACTGCTGTACCTTGAGTGCAATTTTTCTATTTAATTTTCAACAGGAATGGAAATATAGTTTGTAAATAGAGCCCAACAAAAAATATTTAATTTTCTATAGGGACAAAAATACAGTTTATAAGTAGAGCCAAACAATGCTTTATCATTTTGCAAACACTGTCCAGAATAAATTTTCCACATGTGGACAGAGACCAGTATCTCTGAATCATAATGTCCCCTGCAAATTGCCCTGTGTCAATAAACAGAATGATTCTGGTTTTAATTAAAATTTTGTAAATTATTAAGGGCCTTTTATTTATCTATTTTTCAGGGTAGTCTCTGGACCACTGATAGCCTGCAAAGTCTTTACCAAATGTTGCTTAGGCAGCTACAGAAACTAACTAGCACAAGCTTGCACATAAGTGGGGCCCGTTGAATGAACAAAGAGTTTTAGTCTCCAATCTAAAGCACCATCTTTTTTCACTTTAGGTAAGGTTAGGTGTTTTATTATAGAAGGCAGAGTAGAAGGGGAATCTAGCATTTGGGGCCTTTGCTCTAATAGGTAATCCATTAACTGAAAATCCCTGAGAGTGACAGCATCACTGAGCCCCGTGTCACTGAACCATGCCCACGGCCTTTATTTAGGGCATTATGTTATCTTATGGACTGGAATCAGAAAGTTATTTGTATGTATATATATTTTTTAATGTACATACACACAAAATGGTTTTCAGAATTTTTTTTATGAAGACAAGGAAATCAAAACTTTTTTTGAGCAACTGAAAGCAAATTTAATCTTTGGAAGTGATTTAAATGCAATGTTTAATTCTCTCTGATTCATTCATTCTTTTATTCACTGAATAAACAATACCCTGAGAAATTTAACATAACACACTTCAGGAAAAAATATTTTTCCCAAAACTACAATTTCTATAGCAAGGGGAGCCAAACTGTGTACAGGCAAAAAGGAAAGGTTTAGAAATGAAAAAAAAGGCCGGGAGCGGTGGCTCATGCCTGTAATCCCAGCACTTTGGGAGGCCAAGACGGGTGGATCACGAGGTCAGGAGATTGAGACCATCCTAGCTAACACGGTGAAACCCCGTCTCTACTAAAAATACAAAAAATTAGCTGGGCGTGGTGGCGGGCGCCTTCATTCCCGGCTACTCGGGAGGCTAAGACAGGAGAATGGCGTGAACCCGGGAGGCGGAGCTTGCAGTGAGCCGAGATCGCACCACTGCACTCCAGCCTGGCGGACACAGCGAGATTCCGTCTCAAAAAAAAAAAAAAAAGAAATATTTTAAAACCGAAACTTACTAAAAAGCCGAAGTCAGCTAGCATCTAAGATACCAAGTAATTCTGAAGGATAGGGTCATTGGAAAGTACTTAACAAGATTATCTGGCTTTCAAGAAAGTTAAGAATAATTGACTTTCAGATTTGAAGCTGCACAAATAGACTAAAAAATTCAGTTCAACAGCTTCCTCTGGTAGCCTGAATATACAGCAAGAACTTTATCATAAATGACAGATATTACCCAACAGACACTAGGGATAAAAGAAATTTTAAGTTATTTTTCAGTTTCTGCTGAAATTGGTTGTTCAAAGTACTTATTACTACTGTTAAGCTGAAAAGGCCAGTTATAAAATTATAGTTTCAACCTTTGCATGGGTGAATTTGGGTTAGACACTAACAGAAATTTGAGGAGAGGAGAATTAACTGTAAAATTTTTTATATTCGTTCTGAAGCATTCAACCGTGATTGATATCCTTGGAAACTACTTAAAAAGAAACCTATGCTTTGTCAGAACTTGACATGTCAGAGCTCTGGTTAGCCTGAGATAAATACAAGAACCTACGGGTTTGAAGTAATGGAGGGTTAACTCAGGGTAATGCAAGCTTTCAGAAAAAGATACAGAATGCAATTCCTGATTTCAGCTGGAAAAGGGAAACATGTTTATGCTTTAAAAAAATGGAGAAAAAAAAGAGACTGAGAGCAGGATATGGGTCTTCTTAAAAACCTAAATCTCAGGTACAAAACTAAATTCATTACCTTTTCCCCAATCTTATGGCTCCTGTATTTTCTGTCCTAGTAAATGACAACTGTGAAAGAAAAATAATGGACACCCAAACATATCAGGTCCAAATCCCTGGAACCTGTAAATGTGACCTTATTTGGAAGAGGTCTCTGCAGACGTGATTAAACTATAAATCCTGAGATGAGTAGATTACCCTGGATTATCTTGGAAGGCCAAAAATTCAATCACATATATCATATATAAGAGGAAGGCAGAGGGAGATTTGACACTTACAGAAGAGACAAGACAGTGACAGCACAGAGAGAGTTGTAGATTTTGGCCTTGAAGATTAGAGTGATGCAGTCACAAGCCAAAGCATGCTAGCAGCAACCACCAGGAGCTGGAAAAGGCAAAGAATGGATTGTCCACTAGAGCAGCTGGAGGGACATCAGCCCTGCCAACACCTTGATTTCAGCCCGGCAATACTGATTTAGGACTTTTGGCATCCAGACCTGTGAGAAAATAAATTTCTGTTCTTTTAAGCCAACAAGGTTGTGGCAATTTATTATAACAGCCACAGGAAACGAGTACAGCCAGTAACACTGTCCAACCTCTCCTCCAAGCAAGACGCCTCAGTAACAGGTCATCTTGTCTCCCATATCCCAGTTCATTCACCAAGACACCTCCAGGAGAAAGCTCTCTACTGTAAACGCTTGAGCAAATGCCTCGCTTGCAAAAAACCCATTACCTCCAGAAATTCCAAACTCCGTAACACTGCACTGAGCACCTGCCACATTCTGACCCCTGGCTATGTCTCCAGCTGCACCTCTATCCATATTATTTCTTACAGACTTTGCTTCCAGACACTTCAGATTCTTTGCAGTCCCTCAAATGAATCCTGCCTCACACTTCTCTACACTTAGACGTTTTACCCATAGCATTCTGTTTCCCAAAATTTCCTCACCAACCCCTTTCCTGCTAGGAAATGAGAATTCCTCTTTCAGCCTCTCTCCATGGCTCTGTCCTAGCATGCAGAACTGATTATTTCCCCCAGGTGCCCCATCACACTCAACAAGAATCTGTATCACAAATTGCACACCTACTATTTATTTACTAAGTGCCAGGCGCTGAGCTGGGCATTTAAATAAATCATTTCACTTAACCCTCACCATAATCCTACCAAGTAGCAATTATTAGCAGGATCCATTTTCCAAATAAGTTAATCAAATTCAGAGAGGTTAAATAAAGTGGCCAAAGTCACAGAAAAGGCAAACACTTGGAGGCGGCTTTGCAAATTTTCTATTGATTTCTGAATTTGATTTTGATTTTTGATGTCTGTTTTTGTTACACTATTCATCTATATCATTCAGAACAAAATGAAATGAGCTGCAAATAATGTTATTATTTAGCATCATTTCAGAGACTCTACAGAGAAAGATATAAAATAAAAATTAGGCAGTATTGGAAAGAGAAAAATTAAATTACTTGCAGAAGATTTAATTTTGTACACAGAAAAAAGCAAGAGAATTAACAAATAAAAGCTTTTTAAATTAATAAGATAATTCAGTAGAGTGATTGGGAGCTTGATGAATACATAATAGTCAATAATTCTCCTGGGTATCAACTGTTCATCATTCTATCCAACTAGGCTGTTTAGTAGTGATATGTTGCCTTCAATTGCTGAAGTATGTGAGCTATGCAGCTCTCACTATAACCTCACTCCAAAATAGTATGTTACCAAGAAAGCAAGTCTCAGGCCAAATTGTGCCAAAGTGACAAATATTCATTACCAAGAAGAACTCAAAACAGTCACACAGTGTACTCCATCAGTTTAATCAACTTCCAGCTCCCTGTCCTTTCAGACACTCTAAATAGCACCTTCAGGCAGATGTGACAATATTCTGTTGACAGTGTCTAACTTTCTGGTCAGATAAGTGTAGAGAATTCTCTAAACATTTATATCCATTACCTAAGGCGTCCCTAGGCCTACGGCACCACTCTAAAGGTCACTAGGCATGTATCTCCCGTTCACTTGAGCAATATTTCTAGCTAATCCACAGTATCTTTTTATAACAGTTTTATTCAGAGGTAAATGAAATACTATAAAATTTGCCCTTTTAAAGTGTACAATCCAGTGGTTGATAGTATATTCACAGAGTTGTGCAACTACTACCACTATCTAATTTTAGAATATTTTCCTCTCTCCTCCCACCAAAAACACCCTGAACCCATCAAAAATCACACCCTATTCCACTTCCCCGAGCCCCTGGTAACCACTAATCTTTCTGTCTCCATGTATTTGCCTATTCTGAGCATTTCATGTAAATAGAATCATGATCATATACAATATGTGCTCTTTTTGTGACTAGCTTCTTTCAAGTACATGATGTTTTGAAGATTCAGCCATGTTGTAGTATCTGTCAGTACTTCATTCCGTTTTATTGCCAAATCATATTCTATTGTATGGATATACTACTTTGGTTCATCGATTCATAGATATTTGGGTTGTTTCTATTTTTTGGCTATTATGAATAATACTGCAATGAAGATTTGTACAAGTTTTTATGCGGACATATGGTTTCACTTCTCTGGGGTACATACCTAACAGAATTGCTGGGTCCTATGGTAACACTATTTTTAAAATCTGAAAAAACTGCCAAACTATTTTCCAAAGTGACTGCATTATATTACATTCCTACCAGCAATATATAATTGTTCCAATTTCTCCACATCCTCTCCAATGTTATTGTCAGTCTTTTTTTTTATAATTGTATAGTGGTATGAAGTAGTCAATCCACATACCTGATCACCACACGTTTTATCAGTTTGGTTTTTTTAAGCCTAACATCCATTGTAATTACAAAACGCTCTCGTGTTGATAAAGGGTAAAGACAGTCTACCAGTTAGGAGTAGCCACTTCCAGAGCATGAGCTACTGATTAAACTTCCAATGCTAACTCCCCACACCCAAAGTATATAAAACTGATTAGGATCCTTGAGATTTAACTCTACAGTCTAACACACACATCTATATGACACTCTCTGCTGAAATATTTTAAAGTAAATTACAGAGAAAAATCATCAACCACAATCAATTGAAAAAAAGATGAAGAAAATGTAACATATTATTTTAAAATTTTGGCATAAAGGATACTTTCTAAGCTTTATATGAAGCCTAGAGAAAAAATTAATTTATATGATAATGAATGTATTTTAAACTTATATACAGAAAATGATATAATAATTAAACTCAAAATGCAACATTTGTTACATATATCATATACAAGAATGTTAAGGCTATAAATATACAAAGCATTCTCTAAATTAATGAGAAAAAAGTATAAGCACCCCAAAAGAAAAATGACTTAAAGAAGTGAATTGGCATTTTATAAGAGGAAGAAATATATTTGGTCACTCACATTTTAAATAAAGTTCATCCTGAATAATGAGCAATGACATGCAAATAAAATAAATAAGATAATGCTCTACTGTGAGACAGACAAATATTAGCTGCATGAATAGAACTCATTTAGTTGTAAGTTACAGAAGAAAAGGGAAATTTACGGTGAAAATACAGATATTTTATACAGCCCAGATTCAGGCATGTAGCTGACCCTGTGAGAAGAACGAAAACAAGGGCAGAAATATCCAAACTGCTTTTCTGTGTGCAAGTATTATCTATTTCAATCTTTTTTTTTTAACTGCTTCCTCTACTTCTCTAAACTACATGGTGGGAAACATAGATGCTGATATTGTTTGGCTCTATGTCCCCACCCAAATCTCAGGTAGAATTGTAATCCTCAATGTTGGAGGAGGGGCCGGGTGGGAGGTGACTGGATCATGGAGGCAGTCCTCCCCCTTCTGTTCTTGTGATAGTGAGTTCTCAGGAGATTTGGTTGTTTAAAAGTGTGTAGTACTTCCCCCTTCTCTCTCTCTCTCCTGCTCCACCATGTAAAGACGTGCCTGCCTCCCCTTGTGCCTTCCACCATGATTGAAAGTTTCTGGAGGCCTCCCCAGCTATGCTACCTGTACAGCATACAGAACGGTGAGCCAATTAAATCTCATTTCTTCATAAATTACCCCCAGTCTCAGGTAGTTCTTTACAGCAAGGGGAGAACAGGCTAATATAGATGGCTGGGGTTATTAGCTTCATATTTTATAATTCTGGCACCCAAGAAGAGACTGCCAGCTTTTCCCCACTTCAGTACAATCACCAGATCTCATGGACTTGTCATCACCTGGCAGGGTGCCACCTCTGAACAGTCATTACAACTGGGAACCACCAGTTCCACCATTTACTAGCTGTGTAAACTAAAACTCTCTAGGCTTCAGTTTTCTTATCTGTAAAAAAGGAGATGATCATAGTATCCTCCTCATAGAGTTGTTTGAGGAGTAAGTAAGTAAATATAAAGTGCTTAGAGCAAACCCAGCATATAGTAAATATTGGAAAAACTATCTAGAGGCAAAGGCAAAGAGAATAATGTAGAGTGGGTGTGCAATGCCCTAAATTAAGTGATAAAGCCCTAAACTGTGATTAAGGAAAAAGGTCAAATTCATTCGAAAATATTCATTCATGCTTTCTTTCAACACAGATTTATTGGGCATGTATTATGTGCCAGGCACTACTAGAGTAGTGTATGGGAATAGTTAAGCCCTGATCTCAAGTCCACTTTGTAGAAGAAAGAAGAGATGTAATGTGAGCCTAAGGCTGCTCCTCCAAGTTCCTTTTGCCTTCTATGAAATTAAAAGGGGCCAAAGAGCCTCCTGGTAAAATGAAAAATGAATCCTCTTGATATCTTTTTAAGTTTATACTGTCGGCCCAGCCAGGGTCTGGTGGAAGGAATATATAATAGGAAACTCTGAGAGGAATTTCTTTACAAAAGAAGGTAGAGCTCAGATGGGAGACCCAGATTCAGAGACAAAGACAGGCCCACACAGTCTGGAGCCTGGAACTGTGGGGTGTGTGCCCACAGAGCAAAAAAGTTGTGAATATATGGATTTAAAGAAATGACGACACCCAGGGAGTCTTTGGTAAGGAGGACTTCTGACTGAGACTGAACCTAGAAGGACCACATAGAACCACAAAGATCTGGTAAATCAAGAGAGACAAGCACCAGGAGGCAATGAGCAGAGTTACATACAGGGTTACAGGGACAGCAGACAGCAAGGTCTCATGCCAGGCCTTGTAGCAATAGGACATTACTGCAACTTCCCAGTGGCACTGTCAACAGCAATGTTTTAACAACAGCAGTGAAGGCTCCATGGAGGCAGACAGATAGGAAGAGGGGTATATTGAGACCACAGCTGAGATCATTCCCTTGGAGAGATGCTCTCCAGGCAGGGGGTACTAGGCCTGAAAAGCAGCAGCTAGGTTCAGGTATTAATATCTGAAGCCAAAATCCAAGGAAAAAAACTCGACTTCCATCTTACGTAAGTCATTGTAAAATAAATATGAATGGAAATATGCCTTATATGCCTCTAAATAAATGCACAAAGAGATATCTGCTTGGCCTGACCTATTGCTGGGTAAGAAAGTTGGGGTGATTTGTACTTTCTCCTTTGCTCTTTTCAACATAATTTGATTTTTTTTTGCATATTTTTACAACTTTATCTTCATGAAGTGATCTACTGTTTTCCAAATATTTCAGTTGAATATCTGTATAAAAACAAGAATTCCTTGCTAAGCTATTGAAACTTTCAAAACACTTTATTAATATTATCTCAAACAATCCTTATACAACTGTATCAGAAGGAATTTCTATAAACAGAAGCACAAGGAAACTAACTTATCTGAACTCTCAGAGTAAAGTATGGAGTTGCCGTTTAAATCCAGATCTTTCTGGCTCTAAACTTTTGCTAAGCCTGTAATACATTACACCATTCCCTAACTACGTTACAACACTTGAGATTATATATCATTATTTTTCTCAGTCTCTCCTCCTGCCCACTCTAAAAGCAGTAACCACATTTCAGCTCACTTGCTAACAGCTAAGTGGACAATGATCCTCCAAATATTTTACACAATTAGCTAGATTAGCAGTCTTTTAGGGTTTATTGCTTTTCCCAGAGTCAGTGCAATGGATCACTTGTCCAAGAAGCAAGAGCTGATGACTGTGATGTGCCTACAGATCTCCACTAAGTAGAAAGCTGGAGGCTAACATCACTCTACCCAACATCAGCTCACATACTGCTGCCTTCCAAGCACCACTCCCAAAATATATTGATCATATGACTGGATTTTCTAACATTTTGTTCCTTTGTCTATTAGCTGTAGAATAATATGTTGCTTCTATAATGGAGGAAAAGTCATGTATATTCAGGCTCAACATTTCAACATTTCAAAAGAAAATCTTTATCTATATGCAAGGTTGTCTTGAGCCAGCTCTCTTTAAGATGCATGAAATAATACATAGGCTATGACAATGAAAACAATAACATGCTTGTAAAGGTAAGGCTAGATTGGCAAGGTTGGTTTTTTTCTTCCTCCAGATTTTAAGCAATATCTTCTGTAATTTCTTTGGACCATTGGACAATTCAGAAGTACCTAGGAGTAATCTGAGATTTGCAGACTCAATAACAGAATTTAAACAGAAGAAGGAACTAATCCAAATGGGAATATGTAGGTCAGCATAAATGATCAGCTGAGATACAGGAGAATGAAAATGACTTCCTAATATGTATGTTTCATCCTTATCAGAAGTGAGTAGAACAGAAGTGTGCCCTGACTCAAAGGCTCTCATCTCGGCCCCAAAACCAACAAAACAACAATGGAAACAAAATCTCAGTAGCAGCCCATCCTACCTACAGTTCTACAAGTCCTAAAAAAACCACTGAATGAAACAGGCATAGGCAATTGCTTCGCTATGTCTCCTTCATCCTGCCTTTTTACAATTGATTTTTTTTCAACTCAATTAATACTATACTCTTTCTGGCCTTCAGGCCTTCCAGCCATGGTTCCTGTTCATATGTGATGTGCCTTTCTTCTACTAACGTTCCTTTCTTCAACTATATATTGAATAAATAATTATCAAGCACTTTCTATATGCAATACACTGGACTAGAAGCTAAGTGGGATGCAAAGCTGAATAAGACATGATTCTTATCCTATGAGAATTTACAGTTTAATAGCTGTCTGACACTCATTCAAATGTTGATTCAACCAGCACTAGGTTATTAAGTGCCAGATAAAGGATTTAGTGTTGGAGACCATGATATGAACACATTGGGCTCCAGGCCCTAGATTATTTATATTCCATTAAGGAGACAGATTTATAAACAAATATGTGCAGTGAAATGTGGAATATGTATAATAAATTCATTACAAATTAGAGAAAGGGAGGGGTGGGCAAGTCAATCTGAAGGATCAGGAAAAGTCTTCATAGTATGAGTGATGCTTGAACTATCGGCAGAGTCCATCAGGTGAGATAACAACGTGAGGCCAAACTGTTCCTACCAGAGAGAACCACAGTGTGAACATCATGGTTTTCTCAGGAAACACAGGTGTCTGAAGTGACTTAGAGTTTAGGAAAGAGTTTAGAGGCAAAAGTGGAGAAGGGGAGGGTGGTGGGACATAGAGAGAAAGAGATGAGGCTGAAAATTTAAGTCAGGGTTTGGAAGATCCTGATGACTCATTATACAGGCAACTAGAGGGTCTTAAACAAGGGAGTAATAGTATGATGTCATTTGCCCTTTTTGAGTACAACTCTACCAGCTCAAAGTACAGGATTCCTGGCGAGGAGGAGAAGGTTGGCCAGAGATTGTGAGGTTGGAAGAGTCAAGGAACTTGTGCATAGTCTTTGCATGGGTCAGACTGGCCTGGACCTAGTTAGCAGAATGGTCAGCCATGTTAAAGAGACGATACGGAAGTAGAAGGAATGGGAGGATGAGGCCTGAGGCTCAACTGACAGAAGTTTTACTGGGGTATTGGGGGCATAGAGAAAATGATGGGGAGGACTTAGTCCCTTGTAGGAAAGCAACCTAGAATTTTCAGGAGTGCCCATAAGTAGTTCGCAAAACCTCTGAAGCAATTTTGATGGTGCCTCTTGTTGACAATAGCTGGTTTAGACCATGCTGCCAAAATGAAAATGACACAACCACACAACAGTTGCATTTTTTAAATCACAGCATTTTATATATGTGCTGGAAATTGTTCATCAATCATCATCATCTTCACCTTGTATTACCATTTATTGACCTCATTGAAACAAAGTGGCTTTATAATTTTCTTTTTTTTTCCTAATTTTATAGCTATAGCCACTAATGAGGTCTGTTTCTCTGGAAAGACTTGATGTAATCAGGGATGACAACATTTTAGGCTAAATATAATCAACTGAGCACTTAGATACTTCAGCTGTTACAAGCACTTAGGAAATTACTTAGGCCATCCAAGGAAACTTTATAGCCAGACAAGTGTAGGAAAGACATGATTTATGGATAGTGACTTGACTTAAGTAAACTTCCTCATTTTTAACTTGAACATGTGTAAACAAGTTCTGTCTTTTCCTTTTTTTATAGAAAGCATTGTTTTCCATCTTCTCATCCTTGACACTTTTCTTTAGTTGGATTTTGACTTTTCTAAAATTTTATTTTACATTGTGTGGCACAAAATTTAAATTGGTGATAAAAAAAAATACAGAGTCTGGAAGAAGTACATTAGCATATAAGCAAATTTTTGCTTCCTCAAGTGGCCAGGCCACCAAACAGCTCTTCTTACCCTAAATTATACCCAAGTGAAACCATCACGTGCTGCTGCACTTTATTAGTTCACCAAGTACTTTAAGACATATTTTTCCCCAAGACAAAAGTCTTCCTTGAGTAAAAGATATGTTCACTTATTTTTCTACTTAGGTATTTTATATAGGATATCACACATGCAAATTGTCTCCTTTTTTTGGGTAGTATTCATGCCCAGATTAAGCGAATTATCTGTCAACATTTTTATTTATATATATACATATATATATATGTATATATATAAAATATTTTTTTTGAGAGAGAGAGAAAGAGTCTCACTCTGTCACCCAACCCAGAGTGCAGTGGCATAGTTTCGGCTCACTGCAACCACTGCCTCCTGGGTTGAAGAGAATCTCCTGCCTCCTCGCCCTCCCAAGTAGCTGGGATTATGGGCACCCACCACCATACCTGACAAATTTTTGTATTTTTTAGTAGAGATGGGGTTTTACCCTGTTGTCCAGGCTGATTTCAACCTCCCAACCTCAAATAATCCACCCACCTCAGCCTCGCAAAGTGCTGCGATTATAGGCATGAGCCACTGCGCCTGGCCAAATTATCCGTCAATATTTAGAATGTACTGTGGCCACCTCTAAAATTAGCTTTGCTCTGCTTGAGGACAATGTGTTTTAATTTAAATTTATTTGTTTCTCATTTCTTCACAAATAAAACTTTGTAGAACGTTATATAAACAAAGATTAAATAATTATATCTTTACTGAATAGCAAAATCAGGCAGGCATTTCAGTGTTCTCACTAAGTGTATAAACTAATTTTTTTTTTTTTTGAGACGGAGTTTTCACTTTTGTTGCCCAGGCTGGAATGCAATGGCACGATCTCGGCTCACCACAACCTCCACTTCCCAGGTTCAAGCAATTCTCCTGCCTCAGCCTCCCTAGTAGCTGGTATTACAGGCAGGCGCCACCATGCCGGGCTAATTTTGTATTTTTAGTAGAGACAGGGTTCCTCCATGTTGGTCAGGCTGGTCTCAAACCCCCAACCTCATGTGATCCGTCCGCCTCGGCCTCCCAAAGTGCTGGGATTACAGGCGTGAGCCACCACAACCAGCCAATATAAACTAATATTTTTAAGGGTATAAACATATAATGTATAAACATATTCAAATTCATAGATGTCCACATTCATTCTTCCAATCTATCAAGTGGCAAACATTTATTGAAAACCTTTCATGTGCAAAGCACAAAGTCTGGTTTTGTAATAATCAATGATAAAACAAATAGATATTTTTAAACTTGGTTGGGGAGACAGGCGTGCAAAAACCTAAAAAATTTTAAGTCAAAATAAAACAAAAAGAATGTACAAGAAATGTTGTCTGGGAACTCCAAGGAAGCAACAATTAATTCCAATTTCAAGAATCTAGTAAAATATCACAAATTGCACTGAGTGAGGTAAATCTTGACAACCAGGCAAGGAGAGCCACAAATGGGGGAAAGGCTTCTCAGGCTGTAGGAAAGTGTCAACAAGGGTGGAGAAAGGGAAGACACAAAGGAACGTGGGGATTAACACCTAGTCCACTTTGGCTGGTGCCCATGTCTGAGATAAGGCTGGGAAAGGAATCTGGGCAGGATGAGTAAGTACTCTGAACACATGCTAGCATACTTGGACTTTACTCTGTAAACAAAGGGGACACGCTGAAACAGTGGAAGTTTCTGCAAAGAAAAATCATGCAATTCAACCTTTGTTTACAAAGCTAACTAAACATGTGAAGCTCACTACATGTGTGAAGAAGAGGAAAAATGATTACTTCTTGAGCCAGAGTGGAGACAGCAGAAATGGAAAGGAGGTGACCGACACTTTGGAGAATGGAATAAACAAGTCTTGGTGACTGATAAGGTGATTTTAAAAGTACCGAAACCATTCATAAAGCTTATGAAATATAGTAAGTCAAGCATTATAATGGTAGGGAAGTAATAGCATACATGACTCACAGTGTTGGCTTATTTCATTTTGAAAGTCAACTGTTCCAGAAAGCCCAGGTAGCCCACACTCAGTGACAACTGATCAGAGGAAGCACACAAGACTGAATCCATCTGACAATTTTACTAAAAACTCTCTAGTTGCCAAAGAGACCTAAATGATTTTTTAAAAGTAACATATTAGAAAAGTAAATTACTGAAAAGGCACCGATATCTATTCATATCAAACACTGTTCATTTCCATGAATACAGTTTGTTATAGATTTCTGTTGAGAGAAAAAACTAGAACAGCAACAGCAGAACTTGACAACTCTTGGGGAGAATATTAAGGAAAATGAGGACGTTGAAATAGCAAGTAGTTGGTGTTAGAAATAATCTAACATAATAGTTCTTTAAAAAAAAAACCTTAGACACTTGAATTAGAGCCTACATTTTTAAAGTCTCATGATCACACAAAGGTTTAAGAGCCTATGTCTAGAAAATCAAGTGTAATATGGCAACAAAGTTAAACTGTTTGGAGGAAATTAAGGTTTTCTAAATATATGTTAACACTGTCAGAGGTGTTTGAACCAGAGCAACTCCATCTTGAATAGGGGCTGGGTAAAATAAGGCTGAGACCTGCTGGGCTGCATTCCCAGGAGGTTAAGGCATTTAGTCACAGAATAAGATAGAAGTTCAGCACAAGATACATGTCATAAAGACCTTGCTGATAAAACACACTGCTATAATGAAGCTAACCAAAGCCCACCAAAACCAATATGACAATGAGAGTGGCCTCTGGTCATCCTCACTGCTACACTCCCACCAGCGCCATCACAGTTTACAAATTCCATGGCAACATGAGCAAGTTACCCTCTATGTTCTAAAAAGGGGAGGCATGAATAATCCACCCTTGGTTTAGCATATAATCAAGAAATAACCATAAAAATGGGCAACCAGCCACCCTGGTGCTGCTCTGCCTATGGGTTAGCCCTTCTTTTATTCCTTTACTTTCTTAATAAACTTGCTTTCACTTTACTGTATAGACTCACCCTAAATTCTTTCTTTCACGAGATCCAAGAACCCTCTCTTGGTGTCTGGGTCGGGAGCCCTTTGCAGTAACAATACTACTCCTTTCCCTATTACTTTTTCTTCACAAACCTTCTTTTATTTAAAAAACTCAAAGATAATAAATAACTTTTACTCTATATCTGCAATTGTTCTGATTAAAATTAAAATTCATATTTCAATATCATTTTAAATACACTAGAGGAATTGTCTATCTAAAGACATTCTGAGATAAATATTTTGAAAGTAAAATAGCCTTTTTTGTTTGTTTTATTAAAGATAAATTATCACCACTAGTTTACAATGGGCTTTGACAATCACATTATTTCCTTAAACTGAAGTATGTCCCCATTTTATTTTAAGGTCCTGCTTCTCCAATCATAAAATTATGAACCTCCAAGTAATATCATAGGTCATCTTGACCAGAGACTCAACCTTTCTATAGGATCTAAGATCCAGTGAAGTGGCATGATTGTCAAAGTTCACAGAGCTAGTTCCAGAAACAAAACAGATGCTGTTTCTTTGCTGAAGTGTTCCACAAGGAAGCAAGATGCCATATATATGACATTCCAATGGCACAGTGATTTAAGTGAAACAAAGAAAATAAAGCCATTATAAGATATGTCTTAAGTTAAAAAATCAATCATCTTTTAGGTAGTATACTTCAAACTTTTCCCAAAAAAATTTTTTTAATTTACTAATTTAAATTATCAATTAAGAGAGAAATTCACTAGTAACTTGATATTGATTACGCCTCCTTTCCCCAATGCCTACAAGAGGCTTTGGATGAAACCACTGGCATAAAAATCAATTGTAATCAACTTTCTAATATCTCTGCTTCCATAATTAATTTGAGAGTGGAGATACCAAGATAAGTCAGATAATAAGCTATATCTAAAATCGTAGGTAATTGAGATGGGTTTAGCAAATACATTTATTATTCTAGTGTAGTTCCCACGTATCCCTTAGTCTCACGTGCTTGCTCTCACTCCAGCTCACTCTCTCTCTCTCTCTCTCTCTCTCTCTCTCTCTCTCTCTCTCTCTCTCTCTCATATTCTTTACTTATAGCTTGGAAACATGAAAACCTATTTAAGACATTAAAGAAAAATGTTTGTGTTACTTTCAATTACCAAAAAATCTACAAATAGGAGTACATTTAGATAAAAGAGTACTCCTTTATAGGAGTACATTTAGATAAAAGAGGATTGTAGGAATGCTCAGAGTTATAGGAGATGGATGCAATAAGAAGGATCTGCAGACAGTGAGAAACAATTACATTTCTCAAAATGATTATAAAACCACTATTATGCTAAGGCAGAGACACATGTTGGTTTCAACCAGTTATGGCAATTATAATCATATCTCTGGTTCATTACACTCTCTGACATTTGAGATTGTTCTTAATAAAATTAATGTGTCACTTGTTACTTATTTTACATACATAGAGAGCATGAAGCTAATTAGCAAGGTAAGAAAAAATTGACTTTTACAAACTCATGCCACAATTCATATAGCTCAGAATAATGTACTGATATTAATATCGAAGTAGTTATTTTATTTACATGAAATTCTGAAGAATGAATTTGCCATGAAGGGAAACTCTGGAATTAAGTATTACTGAAAAGCTAGCAAGTTAAACGGTGACTTCCCCAGTGCTAAGAAAGCACTGGACTGAAATTGTAGGGCCTGAGGTCAATTCTCAATTCCACTGGTAAATTTGAATGTCACATAGTCATTTCAATTAACTTTTCTTACTTTTCATTTGCCCAGACTATCACCTCTCTCCAGTATTTAGTTTTCATCTCACCCTGCCTGCTGATTTCTAGCTAAATAGTCTTCTCATTACTTAATTTCCTACATCTTCATTAGGTAACTCAGCATCAGAAAAAGATAAGAATCAATACTGGAAATAAAACATCACATGGTTAAAGTTTATGCCACTCCTATGAATTGCTCTACTCAAAGCTCTCACCAGTAGGGAACAGAAAAACAGGAAAGCATTCTGTGTTTTGCATCCTCAGAGAAATATATCCTTTGTGGTAGAGTAGTGTTGATATGATCTATTATAATTGCATCTCCTAAGCTTTATAATTTCTTTTAGTTACTAACACACTGGTATTGACAGAAAAGAGCTCCACTCTTCAAGCCGACAATAAAGAATTTATGGAAGAACAACATAATATAGCTAATGGTCATAAGCTTATGCTTAGGAATTAGACATATATGGATAGGAACTCAACTTTGCCACTTACTAGATACGTGACTTAAACCAAATTACTTATACTCTCTCTAAACCTCAATTTCTTCACTTGTAAAACAGGACATAACATCACCTCTTTTCAGAATTGCAAGGATTGAATGAATTAGCCCACATTAACCACTTTATACATTGTCTGACAAAGAGTTAGATTTTGAGATTAATTTAAAGAAAATAGATGGCAAATATCCAAAAGTTGCATGTTTCTTGGCTTCATTAAAATAGCTTATATTTGAATTCGTTTACTGTCTAATAAATAGAAATATTTGCTGGGGACTATCAGTGATATTTTGTTTCTTCAGAGTTTCAGAAAATCAGCTGATGATTCCCTCAGAAGGTCTGCAACATTATTCTTCACAGAATAAACCTGACAAAAACCCTCACAATTTGAACAAGAATGTCTGGTAGCTAATGGTCCTGGCTGGAGAGGCACTAACACTGAATGTTGTCATTAAGTTTGCCAATATTAAGGTATTGTGTATCAGGGAGTGAACATCATTGGTCCCTGGGTCAGGCACCTTTTAAATACATCCTATTTTATTACAGGCAATAACTACTTGCCTTACCTCAGCCTGTATTGGCAACTACAGCAGTATCTGTTTTATCATGCCCAACACAAAACAGCTGTCTTAAATATCAGCCCGTTGACTTTATTGAGCAGATACAAGAATGTTCTTTTGTTCTAAAACTTGGTTATTATAGCAGACTACCTCCTACCTGTCAAATCCCACATGACTGATTGTGTCTTGGCAGAAGTGGGCCTATGGGGTGGAATCTGTAGAAACTGAGTGTGCATTTACAAATCCACACTATTCTAACGACTGTTTTATTCCACACTCTCTCCACATTGAATTAATCAGCATGGGATAACATGCAGCTTTATCACTGTCACCTTGGTTCTATGTTTCTGTGGCTCCCCAAATTGACTATAAATTTTTCCAAAGTACAGATACCTTCTTCTATGTTGCTGTGTGCCACACAGTAAAATGCTGAAGAACCTGGGATAAGACTAATAGCCAGTTAGTGCTTTTCTTGTGACAGGCTGGGCATTGTACAGACTTTATTTCATTTACTCATCCAACAACCTTGAAATTTTGGTTTTTAAATAATTTCTATGTTACAGATTAGGAAATGAGGTTCCAAAAGTTGAAACAGGTTACCCAAAATAACATTCCAAAAAGGGATAAAAATGAGATTTAAAGACATCTGTCTGATTTCTAATTCCATTTTCTTGCTGCTATACTCTGCTGCCTCAAATTCTCATTAATCTCTAAATGCAACATTCTTATGGTAATAAAAGTATTTAGAAAAGTGCAGCCAGTAGCTTAGCCTTGATTCTGCGTATTTAAATAGGAATGGGATGGAAGTAACCAAAACAAGCTACCAAAATCCCTTTGAGAAGATAGCTTATTAATCATTTCAGTTCTAGAAAACTATCCCCAGGAAAAAAAAGTAACCAGAGATGTTAGATGTTTGTGATGGAGAATACTCATTTTTAACACTGTTTTGAATAGCAACTTTTTGAAATAAATTTTGGAAAACAAGGGTTAAGTTAAATAAACATAGTACAACCATATAATAGAATACTGCACAGACATGGAAGGTTATATTTCCAAAAACTAATAACAACAACATATTCATGATATAATATTAAGGGAAAAGTACAGGAAAAATATTGTATAGAATATATAATTATATTCTATATTAATACACACTATTAATATATTACATATTGTATTATGTATTATATATTATATGTGTGTATATATTAATATACACAGAGAGAATATAAATGTGATGCTATACATGAGACAAAAATGAACTCATTTGCTCATAGTTTGACGCAACAGCGAAGGATTTTAATTTTTTTATTATCTCTTTGTAATCATTGAGTGCTTAACTAATGTCACAAGCAGTGTTTTATCTCACTTACATGTATTAACTTATTTAATCCTCAAAGCAAATATAAGAACTGGGGGCTATTATTATCCCCACTTTACAGATGAGGAAACTGAGGAACAGATGTTTCAAAGATACTAAGTGGCAGAGCTAATCTAGCCCTACACCCACGTTCTTCAGCGCTAAGCAAAACTGGCTCTCAAACAGGCTAAGAACTGGATGAAATCTCTTTGAGAGGAATTGTATTTCTTCTCAGTCTTGAGTAAACTCAAATAGGGGATATAGGCTTCTGCCTGCTACAACACAAATAACAGACCTAAAGGAGCACAGCTATTACCACCCTCTCCTGTGGGATCCTGTCCTTTAAACTGCTTCTAGATTAGCATTCTCCACATACCAGGGCTGTTTTAAAACCCCTCAGGCCCCAAATGCTAAAAAACACAGGCAGACCAAAATACTGGTGGAACAACAATGTTAAGTAAGGTATTTCTCTGAAAAAAAAATATACCAGGGCAACTCTCACATTAAGACTTCAACGCCACAGTTCAGAAAGTTCCCAGGACAAATTTTACTGAAACTCTGGGGCTAAGACAAACCTAAATATGATCAAAAAAGGCACTACAGGGTGACTACAATCTTGAACCACAGGATCTCAAGAGCTGCAGAGACAGAATAGGATGTTACGGTCTACAACAACTTTACCCTCTGTTTACCTGTCATATGGCTCATTAACAGCACAACAGGCAGTCTAATATCCCTAGCTTATATAACTTAATTTATCAACTAACAACATCACTTGAAAATCTATTTACATAGTATCTCCAAATTTTTTGTCTGACTAAAGAAAGGTAAAGTATGCTAAGAGATGAACCAATGTGGACTAAGGTAGAGCCTCCAACTGTTGTGTTTGAATGCTTTGATTCCTTTCACCGCAGATCATTAGAACAGCACAGGTATCTACCTCAGACAGCCAACTCCAAAAAGGGTCAGACACTCTCTCTTGGAATCTAACTTTGCTTTCGCAGATGGTCAGTTAATCACTAAGTGTAGCTGGACTTGTAACATGTAAACTTGCAAAGGATATGCCACCAGTGGATGGAGAAAGAGGGAAAGAAAAATACAACTTCAAAGTAAGAGAAGAATAAAAGTGTAGAGAGAACCACATGAAAAGGAGAGGGAGAAATTTAAAAGTCTCTAAGTTCCTAACTGCAATATACCTGCTATCACAACTTTTATGGATTATAAAATCATACAACCCCACTTATTCCAGTAGAGAAGGAAGACCAGAGATAGTGCTGAACTTGACACTACCACTTCTAATAGTGACAGTCTAACAAGAGTGTTATGAACTGAATGTTTGCGTCCCCCCAAAATTCATGTGTTGAAATCCTAACCCCTAATGTGATGATATTAGGAGGTAGGGCCTTTGGGAGATGATTAGGTCATGATGATGGTGCCTGCCCTTATGAATGGGAATACTGTCCTGATAAAAGGAACCCCAGAGAGCTCTCTCACTCTCTGTAGGCCATGTGAAAGTACAGTGAGAAGCTGGCAGCCTGTAACCTGAAAAAAAAGCTCACATCAGAACCTGACTATGTTGGCACCCTGATCGCAGACATCCATCCTCTACAACTGTGAGAAATAAATGTATGATGTTAATAAGCCACCTTGTCTCTGGTACTTTATTATAATAGCCAGAACTGAACCAGACAAACAACAATAATTTTCTTTTATATAAGGCTTTACCTTTTCCAAAAGTCCATAAACAGTGATGTGCAAGTATATATTTTAAAACAACCTCTTCAATAAAAAGCTGAACGTTTGTGTGTACAAAATTTGTTATTTTTTACTGATGTGTAGAGTATGTAGCTTGGCACACAATCTACAAATAATAAGTTGCACATAGTACTTTTATTATAAACTCCATAGAGTCAACTGATTCCCACAGAATGATTTCTTAAATACAGATGACAAAAGGGTAAGTCAAACACTGATTTGCAGTGTTTGCCAATTCCCATGGTGTAAATATTCCCACTATGGCTTATTTCAAGCTGCCAAGGTGGCACACATGAATTGGGAAGAGAACAGAAGCACAGCACTGCAGAATACTTTCAACACACAGATTTAAAAAATAGAGAATAGATGATTATAAAAAAAAACAGATGACAGTAACATGTAGTAAAGCAATTAGGAAGTTATAACCTTTCAGCATTTCTTAAATTTATTTTTAATATAATTTAATTTTGTTTATATAATTCAATTTTTAATAGTCACTTTAACAACTGACTTACAAATTTCTGTTCCCAAACCCATTTAAGCTCCAGCACACCATCAAAAAGTATCTTCCTAACACCCTAGTAGGGTGGGTTTTACTAACTCAGATCAAGGGACTAGAGTTAGAGTCACTTACTCATGAAACCAAGAGATGAAAATAATTAGTGTGTATAACCAGCACAGCTTGAACTTGTTAAAAGCTCAGATTCCTGGGTCCCATCCCCAGAGATTTTGATTCAATAGATCTGCTATGGGACCTAGGAATGATATTTTAACAGGAGAAATCCCTCTTCCCACATTAGACAATTTGGCTATAGAACTGCAGCATCAAACATTTACTAACTACATATTCTGTGCCAAGCTCAGAATATAGTACATGGACATGAAAGAGACAAAACTTGTCCTCAAGGAGAATAGAAAGACTAAGAGTGGTAATATACCTATGACACTGGCACACCTCAGCTACTTTGGGACTAATCCAGTTTAGGAGCACAGCCTAATCCAGAAAAGAAGGGGAAGGGAGGTAGGGCAGGGCAAAGAGCAGCACCTGTGTAGCCACAAAAGCATGAGGAGTTTGGTTGTCTAGGATGAACGCTCACACTTTGGGACTGTACCTTTTATAAGTATTTTTTAGCCGTATTTCTCGGGCATGCATTTTGGGCTATGGCACACATCTGTTTATCAGACTATATACAGTTGCTGGGTTCATGCAAGGAGTGATGGGAGATGAGGCAATAGACTTACACCAGGTCAGGAAGGGCTTTTTAGAATGCCTAGCACCACGTAGGCACTCAACCCTTTTCCACTTCATAGTCTTCCTTCCACTTTAATGTTTAAAGTCAGTATTGGCCAGGGGGGCAGTGGCTCAGGCCTATAATCCCAGCACTTTGGGAAGCCAAAGTAGGCAGATCACTTGAGGTCAAGAGTTCCAGACCAGCTGGCCAACATGGTGAAATCCCATCTCTACTAAAAATACAAAAATTAGCTGGGCGTGGTGGTAGGCACCTGTAATCTCAGCTACTCGAGAGGCTGAGGAAGGATAATTGCTTGAACCTGGGAGGTGGAGGTTGCAGTGAGCAGAGATCGCACCACTGCACTCCAGCCTGGGCCACAGAGTGAGATTCCATCTCAAATAAATAAATAGTCAGTATTATCACCATTATAGGATTATTTCTGTGACAGGATGTACATTTGATACCTAACATGCAAAGTCTAGAAATACACAATATTCTCACTGCTTTTATTATTGATAAGCTGACTTCTCAATCAGAGAAAATGATGAAAATCAGTGAAATAGTGCAACAAAATCAAGGACCCAAGGAAAACAGGTGATTACTGCATATTATTTTTCCCAGTGGGTTTACCTCATTCTATAGTAATAAGCTTTCAGAATAAAATGGAAATATTACCTTAGTTTATCTCTCAAGGTTGTATCATTTCAGCTACAGGCATTTTTAGTTAATTAAGTAAGCTAATTAATTTAAAAATCTACAAATTTATACAATAAAAGAAAATGAATGCAAGAAGAGCTAGACAATGGGTAGAAGACGAAGGAGGTCAAATAGCAGGAGCTTGCCTTTGCATAAATACATCTAGAAAAGGGTACCTCTCACCCCCTTAACACAAATTTAAGTGGCTATAAATTTAACCACTGTCCCTTCTCTAATCCAAACCATGCCTATCCAGCTTGTCTCTGCCCAAGCCCCATCTCTCCCCTTTGTAATATACTCCAAGCACCCTATTCCACAATGATCCTTTCCCTCCTCATGCATGAGCCTCATCTTTGAATTTAGCCCCGTTACCGTGTCTTATGTAGTGTTTATCTCTCAATCAGATTTTACATTTTCAGAGAACTTCTTTTGCATTTCTCATGGACCCTAGCATAAACATAGACATATAAAAGGCACTCAGACACTTGATGAATAAACAGACTAAATTATTTCCATGAATTATATTCAAGCTTCAATCGTTTATCTTTTTCACCTTCCCCAAAATGAAGATAAAAACTTTGTCATAAAGCTTTTAATGATAGGGGACAGTGAAAGGAGGTGAAAGAAAGGAAATGAAGAAAAGAAAAGGAAAGGAAAGAGAAAAAAGAAAAGAGAAAGAGAAAAGAAAGAAAGAAAGAGAAAGAGAAAGAAGGAAAGAAAGAAAGAAAGAAAGAAAAAAGAAAGAAAGAAAAAGAAAAGAAAGAAGGAAGGAAGGAAAGGAAGGAAGGAAGGAAGGAAAGAAAGAAAGAAAGAAAGAAAGAAAGAAAGAAAGAAAGAAAGAAAGAAAGAAAGAAAGAAAGAAAAGAAAGAAAGAGAAAGAAAGAAAGAAAGAAAGAAAAAGAAAGAAAGAAAGAAAGGAGAGAGAGAAAGAAAGATAAAGAATGAGAAAGAAAGAACCTATTCAAATCTGAGCTGCTTTTGAAGTGTGGGCAAATCCTCAGAAGTCTCTGGTATAGTAAGGCAAGGGAATTCCTTACTCTGCCTGCCCATAGCAAGGCTCAGAGGCCTTCAACTGTGCTTTGTTGCTAAGTGAAATCCCCACAACCTTTCTACAAAACATGTTCTTGATGCACATCAAAGAAGATAGAGAAAGCGGGAACAGGTATCCCAATGCTGGTTCTATCCTTGTGTTCTTTAACCAACTTATTGAAGTTCAAAAGAGAAGGACTTTTACAGAATTCCATACCTGAATCATATATAACACATTTATTCAACAAATGTTATTTCCAGTATTATAATAATAGCTAACATTTTTGAAAACATGTTTTTGTTTCATGCATTGTGTAAGCGCTTTCACACATCACCTTGATAACACTCTATATAAGGTAAATACCATAACTATTCTTATTTTTGGAGATGAGAATGCTTAGACAGACTGAATAAGAACTTACTCCAAGGTAGCAAGAACAAGTCACAAAGCCAGAATTTGTACTTAGGTCTCTGATGCCAAAGCCCAAACTAAACCACCTCCTATGGTTACAAGATCCAACAATACTCAAATATTTTTATCTTTGAATTTTAATGTATTAAAAATAAATTTAACCCACCTTTTCAGGAACTATTCCCAAACCTATTCCAAAGGCACTAACTTGGGTATTTAATTATGTTTCTCTTTGCCCAAAAGATGCTTTTTACCTCAAACTTATCGTAAATAGTAAGCTGAGTCAGAAGCAACTCAAACAATAGACTAAGCACTAGTGCCCCTGGCAGAGATGCTTGACACTAAGTATTCAGGTTCTCTTTCAGGATTTTTTTTTCCTGTTAGAAATCTTAAAAATTAAAAACAAAATGTCAAAGCAATGTTATGAAAAAAAGCTGGAACAAGGGATTTGCAGGTTCTGAGGCAGCAAACTGAAACAAATTGCCTTAAGCCAATTGACTTCAGTATGCCCAGCACACTCACAGAAAACATGCATCAAAAAAGGGGCTGCATTAAACATGGGCCCTACTGGCAGAATGACCAGTTTAGGTATAATTTCCCTTAAAAAGCTCATGGAAAAATTCAGACTTGATTGACAATATTCTTTTATATTCATTCCAAGTATAGGCCACATGCCATTCAGACTTTGCAGACTGTTGAGCAGAGGATAAGAACTCTAGTAATGCTGTTATTGTAGGACTTCCGGCTATCCATTATCTGTATATACCAGTAACTTCCCTCTAACATCGAAAGCAAGCTTCAGAGAAAAGAAAAAGGCCTAGGAATCCTCTAAAGAGTTTTCCAAACAGCTTCACCTGTTCCATTGACAGAAAAATCTCAGGCAGCACTTAAAGCAGTGACAGCAATGAGGCAAGAGCTTAATGATAGCTATCATTATCAGCATGATTATTTCCATAGTCCCAGATCAGTCTTAAGAGGCGGCAAACAATCAGGTGATATAGTTTCAGGGCTAGATAAAGGCTGTCCCCTACCCTCAAATAATACTTCTACTACGGTTGCTGGTGCTCGAATTTTCACCCCCAGAAAAGAATTCCTTTGGCTTTAGGCTCAGTTTGTGAAAATGCAAAGTCAAGATTGATGGAATTTTAAACTTATTTACATCAAGATCACCCAAATTTGTTAGATATCTTCAAGGCAAGTTTGCTAAGGAAAGGAAAGGGAGGATGTGAGGGCATAAAAACAATCTTAGGGCAAAAATGGATAAATGAGGAGCCAGTTTTCCAGTGAGACAGACCCAATTATGCAAACAAGGGAGTGGGCTCCAGGGTCAATATTAATTCGCAAATTAGTGGCCAGTACCAATTTAGCACCATCGCTCATCTCCTTCTCAAAATCATCTATGATATAGCGGTGATGCTGCTTTATTTACAGGGCAACTAACCGAAAGGTCAGGACAACGAGTTTGCAATTTACAGTCTCTGGACAGGGTTGAAAGTCAGTTTTTTTTTGTTTTTTTTTTTTTTTTGAGATGGAGTCTTGCGCTGTCGCCCAGGCTGGAGTGCAATGGCAAGATCTCAGCTCATTGCAACATCCACATCCCGGGTTCAAGCGATTCTCCTGTCTCAGTCTCCCGAGTAGCTGGGACTACAGGCGCGTGCCACCACGTCCGGCTAATTTTTGCATTTTTAGTAGAGACGGAGTTTCACCATATTGGCCAGGCTGGTCTCGAACTCCTGACCTCGTGATCCACCCGCCTTGGCCTCCCAAAGTGCTGGGAATACAGGCGTATAAACTGTACTGAGCCACTGCGCCCGGCCGAGAGTCAGTTTTTACAAGCACTCAGATGTGGGCCCGAAAACAAATCAAAACAAAAGTCGTGACTTCCCAGATCTTAGGTAAGGCATAGATTCGTCTGCAAGGAGGGCCGAAATCTCTACCTATCAGGCAAAAGGCAAAAAGCCCGGAAGGGTCGGGGAGAAGCAAGCTGGAAGGCTCCAGGAAGTGGGTGGGGAGGAAGCTGCCGGGGTTGGAGCCAACCCTAGCAACAGCAGGTTTGCACACGCCTAGCAGAGGAAGTCCCGGGCCTAAGCGTGCAGCGGTCACAAGAGCTTTTGGCAGTGCTGTCCCCTTCGATTCCGGTCATCACCCAACCATCCAGCCCGGGTTTGGGGCGGAAAACCGGCTTGTAAAGTGGGCGGCGGCCGGTGTTCCCACAGCTGAGTCACAGCCCAGCCAACTTTTACAGCGTTTCCCAGAAAGAAAATACAAAGTCTCAGTCCCGGAGCCCACCGCTTCTAATTCCCGCTCCCCTGTGTCACCTGACCCGGGGTAACTCCAGCCCCACTACTGAGATATTTCCCACTCATGGCGCAACTTCTTGCCTGCGCAAAGCCTCGTGGTACCCCGAGCGCTCTCCAAGTGCTACCAACCCCACAGATGAGAGGGCAGGAGAGAGGGGAAGGGCTGCGTCCTCACCTGCAGGACACGGACACCTCCACCCGCGTGGCCGGGATGGCAGCGCTCAGCTGGTTCAAGTCCCCGATGCCCGCAGTGCTGTTGTAGCGGCTGTCCATATTGGGAGGAGGCGCCTTGGACTTGTCCGGCGCCCACAACCACAGCTCGGGCGGACTGAGGGCTAGCTCCCGTCAGGCGGGGATGGGGGTTGAGGGTGGAGGCAGAAGAAGGAGGCGGAGGCAGCGCGCGGGATGGGGGAGGGAAGGGAGGAGGCGGACCTCCGCGCAGAGCCACGAGGGAACCGCTAGCCAGTCCTGGGTGAAACTGACGCTGCCAGGCAAGTGGCGCGCGGGGATCCCGGTTTCCCAGCCCCCTTCCGGCAGGCAGCAGCCCGGGCGGGGGACACACTCCGTGATCCCCTCCTGGCTGGAGGGGTCAGGCTTGGTGGACCCAGCAAGCAGCCTGATGGAGAAGGTGGCACCAGACGCAGACCCCTACCGTCCAGGACCGCAAGCCCTCGCCGGCTCTGCGTGCTTTTAGGTTTTGTCTCCACCTCTGCACACCCACACTCGCCTCCTGGGCCGCGACAGCTTCCTTCTGTCAATCAGGTGTGGACGGGAAGGTCTCGAAGTTTCCTCGCCTGAGTTGAAAGCTGGAGGTGGGGGCACCTCTGCCCGTTCCTAACTGCCCCGTTATAAGGTCCCCCTCCCCACAATTGGTTCTCACCTCGCCCTCGGAGCTCTTGGGAGATCCCTCCGTCCCTCCTACTGTGCCCTCGGGCAGATGAGTCTGGTCCCAGCTTCTGGACTGCCCACTGTCGGCCACTTGAGAGTTGGGGACGGTGGGGCATTGTGACGCTCTCCAACCTTGGAACACGGTGGCAAAGTGGCCGATCAATATATGGGACAAGTGGGGGCGGGGGGGCGGACTCTAAGGTGGAAAAAACAATACTACTTGGGATTTAAGGAAGCAATCTGGATTCTGTCTCCCCTTGGTTCTTCGGAGCTTAGAGGTCTAACGGCGACATTCCTCCTACAGTAAGGGCTCTTCTGGGTCCCTCGTTTCCAAAGGCATGAAAGTTCTGACCTGAAAATGGGGGCCGGGGAGGGTGATGTCACAACCATATAACGCAGCTCCTTCAGCCGACTCCCACCCGCAAGAACTGAGACCTGACGGATAAAAGCAGAGAGGAGTCAGAGTGAGCGCTGCGTTTGGGAAACTGCATTCCAGGGCAGCAAGACTGGTGCCAAGACGGAGTCGTGGCAAAAGCATCCGGAGGTAGACGAGGCGCCCCTCCACTGCAGGGACCTTTGTTCCCCGCGCCTTCCCTCCTGCCTCACCCGAGCGCCTGCGGGTCCCGGGAGCTCGCCACCAGGCGGCGACGGAGAACAGGATGCGGCGCAGCTGGAAGGCAGAGGGTGGAGAGGGGGCGGGTGTCCGTCCGATTTAACGCTCCAAGCACGGAGTTTCCAGCTGGTTGGGCTAAGTCTGGGAGGAGCAGTTTTTGCGGTGGAGGACTTGCCTTGCGTTGTAACATTTTAATCCACTTGCAGCCTCCTGCCTAGAGAATCTATAGAGGCGGGTGAGAGTGTGTAGGTGCAGTCTTGCCGATTCCCCTGCCGAGTGTACTTCCCCTGTTTCTTCTTGCTTTCCTTTCCTGATTTCCCCACCCACCGCTTTTTCTTCTTTTTTTTTCCTTCCTCTTGTCCTATTACAAATTAAACTGTAGTTTACTGCGATTTGGAAATGCCCTAAAACCCCAGGCATTTCTATTATGCTGCTCAAAGTTAATTTGGCATAGAGATCTAGGTTTTTTTTTAAGCTCACCAGAATTTTACTTTACAGAAGCCTACTGAAGAGATGAAACTTGAGAACTTTAGTAGTCAACATGTGGGATACTTACATCCAATTTGTTTCCACTTCAGTGAGGTATAACATATATAATGAACTGCACTTAAAGTGCATCCATCATTCGATAAATGTTGACTCATGTATCTCCCTGTGAAGCCATCACCAAAATCAAAATAATGAATCATTCCATCACCCAAAAGTTTTCTTACGTCGTAATCAGTACCTCCTTTCATCACTGAAACAACCCTCTAAGCAACCACTGATCTTTATGTCACTATAGAAGAGTTTGCATTTTTAAAAATTATGTATGTGGAATCATAAAGCAGGTAGTATTTTTGGTCTGGCTTCTTCCACTAAGCAAAGTTCTTTTGAGATTCATCTATGTTAGCATCAATAGTTCATTCTACTTTTTAAATATTTATTCATATATACAAAGAAATAAATTTTTAATTTATTTTAAATTAATAAATTTCATTTATTTAATGAAATAAATTTTTAATTTATTTCATTGTATATATGCGCTATAAATTGTCCATTCACCTGATGATGGACACTTTGGTTGTTCGAACTTTGGGCAATTACAAATGAAACTGATATGAACATATATGTACAACTCTTTCTGTGGACGTATGTTTTCATTACTTCTGGGTAAGTACCTAGGAGTGGAACAGCTGGATCATATGGAATGTGTATGTTTAACTTTTTAAGAAACTATTAAGGCCAGGTGCGGTGGCTCATGCCTGTAATCCCAGCGCTTTGGGAGGGTGAGGTGGGCGGATCATGAGGTCAAGAGATCGAGACCATCCTGGCTAACGTGGTGAAACCCTGTCTCTACCAAAAATACAAAAATTAGCCGGGCATGGTGGTGTGCGCCTATAGTCCCAGCTACTCCGGAGGCTGAGGCAGGAGAATCTCTTGAACCCCTGAGGCAGAGGTTTCAGTGAGTGGAGATTGATCGCGCCACTGCACTCCAGCCTAGGGACAGAGCGAGACTCTGTCTCAAAAAGAAAAAGAAACTATTAAACTTTTTTTTCAAAAGAGTTTTACTACTTTTCTTTACCACAACAGTATATAAGAGATCTGGTTGCACACATCCTTGCCAACATTTATGATGGTCTTTTAAATTTTAGCTTATCTAACAGATGTGTAGTAATATCTCATGTGGCTTCATGACAAATGATGTTGAACGTATTTTCCTATGTCTTTTTGCTATGTGTATACGTATCTTCTTTGGTGAAGTGTCTTCATATATTTTACTTATTTTTTTATTATGTTGTTGGTTTTCTTATTTCTGAGTTTTGAGAATTCTTTATTCTGTATCCAAGACCTTTATCGCATGTGGTTTACAAAATATTTTCTGACAGTCTGTGGCTTGTGTTTTCATTCTCCTGTCTATCAAAGAGAAGAAGTTTCTAATTTTGATGAATCTAGTTCTTCAACGTTATCTATTATAAATCATAATATTGATGTCAAAACTAAGAAATATTTGTCTAATGTGAGATCACAAAAATTATCATCTTCTATACTTTCCCCTAAAATTTTAGTTTTAGGTTTTACGTTTATCTCTATAATTTATTTTGGTTTTTCTAATCAAAGTTCTCATTTTTACACATTGTCATCAGATTTTGCTAGCACCATTTGTTGAAAATACTACCCTTTTTCATTGAAAAATCTTTGCATCCTTTGCCAAAAATTAACATATATCTATGAGTCCATTTTTTAGACTCTATCCTATTCCATTTACCTATTTGTCTTTCTTTAAGCCAATGCCACAGAGTCTTGATTACTATAGCTTTAAAATAACTCTTAAAGTCAGGTAGTATAAATTTTCCAACTTTGATCCTCTTCAAAATTGTTTTTTCATTTTTAATCCTTCTCATTTTCATATAAATTTTAGAATCAGCTAGACAAGGTCCACAAAAAGTCTTGTTGAGATTTTCATTGGGGTTGCATTGATTCTATGGACAAATCAGAGAATAATTGACATCTGATCCAAATTTATCTTCTGATCTATGAACATTATATATCTTTCCATTTATTTAGGTCTTCCTTAATATATGTCAGCAGTGGAGTGGTGTGCTTAAGGAGAGAGAGACTTGGAAAAATACAGACCGAGAACAAGGCCATGTGGAGATAGAGGCAGAGACTGAAGTTGTACCACCAAAGGCAAAGAATATCAAGTATTATCAGTAACCACAGGAAGCTGGAAGAGGCCAGGAAAGGTTTTTCTTAGAGACCTTGGAAGGAGCCTGACCCTGGAACACCTTGATTTTAGACTTCTGACCCTCAAAATTGTGAAAGAATAAATTTCTGTTGTTTTAAGCAATTCGGCTTGCAGTAATTTGTTACAGCAGCCCTAAGAAAAGTAATACATATCGATAACATTTATTATTTCCATTTTGCTGACTCTTTCAAGTTCTGTGCTTATAAATTCATCATAGTGAAGTAAGCTTTAAATGATAAAACTTTGAAAGTATACTCAAATTCTGTTGCTATAGTTAGCACAATACAGAAAGGAATATAATTTTTAAAAATAAATTTTAATAATATAAATATAAATTATGACATGTCTAAACTTTTATTTTGGAGATTTTATAATAAAAAGTTTATATTTATTAAAATTCATTTAAATTAATAACATAAAGCCCTTGGAATATGCTAAAAATCAAAGATAAGTTACATTTACTATAACGTAATAAACCATCATTCACTGAATCAGTGATTTAGCAGACATTAATTCAATGTCTGCTATGCACTAGGCACTGTACTAGATCTAAGAGCTAAAGCTCCTTCTGGCACTTATAGACCAAGTAAAAGTTAGCAAGGAGATACATTATTGGGTAAAGATTATACTGACTGAGTCATCGAGCTCTGTTTTTTAAATAGTTTCAACTTTTAGATCTCTGACGTACATGTGCAGGTTTGTTAAATAGATAGATTGTATAATGTTGAGGTTTGGGATGCAAATTATCCTGTCACCCAGATAGTGAGCACAGTTCCCCAAAGTTTGCCTCCATCCTTCCCATCCCCCTCTATCAGTCCCCAGTGTCTGTTGTTGCCATCTTTATGTCCATGAGCACCCAAAGTTTAGTTCTCACATATAAGTAAGAATGTGCAGTATTTGGTTTTCTGTTCCTGAATTAATTTTCTTAGAATAATGGCCTCCAGCTGCATCTGTGTTACAAAGAACATGATTTTGTTCGTTTTTATGGCTGTCTAGTATTTTGATGGTGCATATGTACTACATTTTCCTTATCCAATCCACTGTTGATGGGCACCTACATTAATGCCATATCTTGGTTATTGTGAATCACGGAGTTCTTTTCATTTCTGAGATTTTATTATTTCACAAGATTAGAGAAGACTTCAATTTGTAAATTCAATGATTATTAACCATTATTTTCAGAAGGACTTATTTACAAAATAGCTTGGTTAAGGAGAGGCTAATGAGAAAAACACATGAAGAGAAAGACCAAACAAACAAGAAAACAAAAACAAACAAAAAAAAAAACACTGTTGAGTCTCCAATGAGAGCAACAAAACAGAAAGAAGGGAACATACTTTTTGAAGAATGTCCCTGAAACAGTGTATGCTTATAATATAAGGATAAAATATATTTACCTTGCCTGGCAAGTGATGTATCAGCTCACACATAATCCAAAACAAATTGGACTGAGCATTTCTTCAGGGTATAGCTTCATCATGGAACATTTGCGCTATTGGCTCCAACAACTATCCTAGCCAAAGATAAGTCAGAAATACCAGCATTGCCCTATGCTCACCTTTAAAATACCCTCAGGAATTGAAGAAAATACATAGTTCTCTAACCTCTGTGGATAGCTTTATAATTACTTTAGCTAGTTGACCTGCTCTATGAAGACACAGCTTAAAATAAAATAAACTTATATCACAGCAAAAATGGGCTAGTTGTTTAATTTTAGGGAGTGACAGATGAGGGAAGACATTGTGATGAGTGGCCAAAACATGTTTTCTGAGTACCTGCCTTCTCTCTGGATCAAATAACCACCTGGTTTTAAACCGTACAAAGTGGATCAAGTATGTAAACAATTCAATCATTTCAAACATTCAAATTGTTAATATCACTAATGCTGTTTGCTTAAAGTTACCTTCGTGACCAAGTAAGATCAGTGTCTCACCAACCTCATAAATTACCACCTTGCTAATAGCTAAGACAGTCGGAAGACTATCACTTTTAAAATCAACTTTAAAATACTACAAATAATAACAGAGTTAAGATCTGTCATGAATAAGTGTCTAGGGACAGTAAATCCAATATTTTAATCAAGTAACACTTTTCTAAGGGACCATGTATGATTATTTAGGTAAACCTAGTCTCAAGTAAATGTTTCCAAAGTAAATTTTACACTTAAGAGAGCACATAGAATGCAAAATCTTTTCAATTTCAGAATTTCACACTTCATATTTAAGCATATAATTTATTTCACATGATGTTTTGAAGGTCTTGGGTTGGTTTGGATATTTGTTTTCCATTATCACAGAGTCAACTGGCTCCACCCACTGGCTATTCAGTAAAGGGAGGCCATAAACTTGCAAGAGTTAAGAGAGAGTGTAGATCAGGAAGGTGACCAAACGGAGGTTAGTTATTTTACTATAACTGAATCTTCTATTATTTTTAATGATAATACTTCAGCTATCTATTGTTGCATAACTAGCCCTCCAGCATTTAGTCATGCAAAACAACATGATTTTACTCTTTTTCATGATTCTTTGGGTCAGAAATTAGGGCACGGCTTGGCCAGGCAGTTCTGCTCCATGTAGCATCAGTTTGGGTCATACATATGGCTGCATTCAGCTAGAGGCTGGCCAGACTGGAAAATCCAACAAGGCTTCATTCCCATGTCTGGCAGCTCAGTGCCTTTCCCCCAAGTAGCTGCTCTGTGGTTTCTCCTCCTTCTCGAGTCTCTCCTGAGCTTCTCCACAACACAGTGGCTGGCTTTCCCAGAGCCAAAGTGGAAGCTGCCAGGTCTCCGAAAGCCTCGGCCCAGAATTGGCACAGTGTCACTGATTTCTAATTGTCAAAGCAAGTCTCAAGGCCACTGTAAGGAGTTGGAGGGAGCGGGGTGGCTGACTTGACTTACAGGGTAGAGCAGCATGCACGTATTATGAGGGAAGGAATTGATGGCAGGCATCCTTGGGGACTACCTACTTAAAATAGTCAATAGAGGCTAAAATAGCATGTATCCCCCACTTTAAAAAAAAAAAAGACATTCATATTTTTTTTTCACTAGTTTAGACTTTTTCTAATTGAAAAGAACAAATACACTTAAGGAACCAGAAATCTCGTAGCATACATTGTAATGAGTAGGCTCAGAGTAGTGAGCAAGTATTTGTCTTTAAGAATTGCTGTTATGCCAACTATAGGCTGAACAGTGGGGGTGGAGGAAGAAATATAGAAGACATGAAGGATATCTTCCCTCCTTCCAAGCATCTTAGAGTTTAGTGTGAGACCCAGCTTCAATTCATTGCACCAATAAAGAATATGAAAGAGCAAGAGGTAAGCAATGATTTGTCATGAGATAATGTGATATAGACTAATGTAATTGATGCTCAAGGGAAGGCATATTAATGAGAAAGACAAGCTATTAAAACTTTCCTGGAAAAATGGGACTTGACACTTTCCAACAGGTAAAAAAAGACAACTGACCAATATAGAAAAGGGTTACAATATAAGTAAATATAGAAGTAAAATTAAGTACTACATATGTTTGCACAGTAGAAAGACAACCAAACTCACCAAAGAAGTGTGCAAATTTGGATAGACAGCACAAAGTTATCTTAAAAGATCTTGTAATTAAAGTGAGGATATGTAAAACTTTCAGCAATCTAAAATTATACAATTCTGAACTGTAGTAGAGTAGCCATGAGTCACAAGTGGCTATTTAAATTAATTGCTATTTAATAAAATTTAAAATGCAGTTCTTCAGTTGCACAATTAGGTGGGTGCAAAAATAATTGCAGTTTTTGCAATTAAAAGTAATGGCAAAAACTGCAATTACTTGTGCACCAACCTAATACATTTCAAGTGCTCAATATCCACACTTGGCTATGGGCTACCCTATTGATAGACAATTTCCTTTACTCTCTGAAGTTCTTTTTTTTTTTTTTTTTTTTTGGGAGATGGAGTCTCACTCTGTCACCCAGGCTGGAGTGCAGTGGCATGATCTCACCTCACTGCAACCTCCACCTCCCAGGCTCAAGCAATTCTCCTGCCTCAGCCTCCTGAGTACCTAGGATTACAGGTGCATGCCACCATGCTCGGCTAATTTTTGTATTTTAGTTGAGATGGGGCTACACCATGTTGGCCAGGCTGGTCTCAAACTCGTGTTCTCAGGTGACCCGCCCACCTCGGCCTCACAAAGTGCTGGGATTACAGGCGTGAGCCACCACTCCCAGCCTACTCTCTAAAGTTCTATTGGATTGTGCTGACAACCTATTCTACTTCCTAAATATTTCTTAAATCTCCTCAACTTTCACATTCTCTCATCCACTCCATTAATGGTAGACATTAGTTTAGTCTATGGTCATCTTTCACCCCGGTGAATGCAGCACTCTCCTACCTTGTCTCCCTGTTTCCAGTCCCCTCCTCCAATCTTCTCTTCATTCCATGGCTAGAATGCACTTTATAAAACATTAATCTGATCTTGACAAAATCCTTCCTAAATTGTTCATACCACTCTCCTTGTCTGTAATACTCCTCTCTGCCTTCCTCTTTCGCTAACACTTACATATTTGGCTCCAAATCAGATGTCACTACCTCAACAAAGTCTTTTCAGGTACTTCTGAGTCTCAGTATTCTTACCTGTTAAATGATACCATTATGTGTGATATACAGTTAGTGAAAATTAGAGAAAATGTATGTAATTCATTTAGCACTTAACACTTAAAATGAGAGTAGTGATGCTGATTATAGTGATGACCATAATTTGGTGGTGATGGTTTAAACCCTCTGGCTCTATTTTCTTACGTAAGCTTCCCAGAGGAGCATTCCAAGTGTCACCTATCTCCCAAGTAATAATTTAAAATTACTTATGTAGCTTATATGACTAAGAGGCATCTACATTCACTACAGTTCAGCCACACAGCCTTCCTTGAACTATTCTAACTTACTTTGCCCCTCTCCTTCTCAAAGCTTTTAAACTGTACTTCTTTTTAATTCTGTCTTACTTGGCCAACTCCTATTCAGTCCTCATGGCCTACCTAAAATGTCATTTCCTCATGGAAGTGTTCAATAAATACTCTCATTTGCATTGCTTTTTAAACAATGAATCTAGCAGGACAACTTAATGCATAGAGAAGAGACATATATGAAATCTGAGGATTCCTTTATCTAATAAAGAAAATAGCAGTATGTTTCTTCTAGAGTTGTAGACATTTATTTGAATATAATTACTCAATGATACCCAGCTAACATTGAGAGACTTCCTAGAATAAAGCCTTTACTCCTTGAAATCCAGATGTCTTTGAAAGGGGCCTGTCCATAAGAATTTTACAGGGATATTTTTTCATGATTATTAAGTACAGAACAAGACTTATTTTTTATAAATATTTTCAACCTCTAAATTTATCAAAAATGTCTTCTAAGTAGCTTTTCACTAAATTTGCTAATTCAGAGAGTTTGATTTTTCAAGACTGCTGAAAGAAATCCATTTGCAAGAATGAATCAGAAAGGGCAGGCATAAAGAATTCTGAAACTTTTCAAAAGAATACAAGAAAAAATACATTCTTATAAAAGGAGTATGAAGTCGAAAATATTTTGCGTCTACAGACACCTTCCTAAATGCCCAAAATAAGCAATAACTTTTAACTATCATAGTTAGAATAAGCATTGTTTGACAATTTGCTTAATACCTATTTCTCCTGCTAGTCATTGAGCCTCAAGGGCATAGGGGTCCATCTGTCTCACTCATTGATTGTCCCTTGCACTCAGTGTACACCGATGTGAGTGAGGTGCTATGTGGCCAAGGACTGTTAAAAGTATCTAAATTCACTTTGATATGTTTAGTTCAGCAACAGCTGAGCACTTGGATGGACTGTCCAACAGGCATTTGGGACTGGTGAGAGGACAAGATTGTTGATATTGGAATCAATAGCTTAGAATTAGCAGTTGATGCCAAGCATTTTGGTGAGTACTCCAGGAAAGAAAGGAAAAGAAGAAAAATAATGCATATCTGGCCTTGGGAGAGAAGGACAAAGAAAGGTCCTACCAAGGAAACAAGTTGGGAAGAAGCACGTGGACAAACAGGAAAAGAAAAACAAACAAAAAACAGCATCAAGACACTAAATAAAAAGAAGAAGCTATTAAGGGGAAAGATGTCAATGGGATCATTGTGGTAGAAGCTGCAAAGGCCACATTTCTGCCTTGTTTTTGTTGTCCCTGTGGGTTGCCTCACTCTTTTTCTTGGGCAGTTACCAATGTTACAGAATCCTCTAAAGATTTTCTGTAATCATCCAAGGACTGTCTTTCAGATTCTTCTACCAAAATGTCCTAGAAGCCCAACTGTAGCTCCTGCTGTGCTGTCTTGAGAATAAAGCCCACCCTGCTTCACATGCTATTAATCCAGAAAATAGCTCTTAAGTAAGCAACTGCATGGCTGAGGACCTCATATAGGAACAATCCCCTCTGGCCTACTATAGCCAGATGTATGAGGAACTAATGCCTCATTTCCAAACCTGATTTAGATCGCTGCTAGAGCAGGGCAGATAAGCATTAATTAGTATGTGGTCAGAGTCTGCTCTGGTTTCTTTCCTGCGTGGATAATTAGAATGTGCAACCATGCAAAAAAGTAAAAATTTTGCTGGAAACTAGGGAAATAGAGACAGAGAGGAAAAAAAGAATATAAATCTTGGGTGTTTAGTAACTTGTTATAATTGACATTCTTATGAGCTAACCTAGGCTTTTTGGTATATTTGAAAATAATTATTTTAATTAGAAAATGTTAAAATACTACAGGACCTTTCTCTAACTGTCCAAGAGATTCAGGCAAAACTTGTAATTCACAAAACAGTTTTTCATAGTAAAGTTAATTGCTGTTAAATTTACCATAATTTTGTGATAACAGATGCAATATTCTTTATTGAAAGTTCAAATAATTAAATTGTTATTTCACAAGTGAGTCCCTTAGAATGTTGTAAAGTTTGGCTGGGTGCAAAGGCTCACACCTGTAATCCCAGCACTTTGGGAGGCCGAGGCAGGTAGATCACTTGAGGTCAGGAGTTCGAGACCAGCCTGGCCAACATGATGAAACACCATCTCTACTAAAAATACAAAAATTAGCTGAGCACGGTAGTGGGAGCCTGTAAGTCTCGCTACTTGGGAGGTTGAGGCAGAAAAGCCTGATACAGAAAAGAACAAACTGATATACTGGACTTCATCAAAATTAAAAATGTTTATTATTTGAAAGACATTCTTAAGAGAATAAAGACAAATCACATAGGAGAGGAAATATGTTGCAAAACATATATCTGATCAATGACTAGAATATATAAAGAACTCAAAACTTAATAACAAACCTAACAACACAATTTGAAAAACTGAAAAAATGTTTGAACACACACTTCACCAAAGAAGATATACAGACAGCAAATAAATACTTCAAAAAATGCTCAACATCATTAATTGTTATAAAAGTGCAAATTAAAATCACAGTGAGATACTAGAGCACACATATTAGGATGGCTAAAATAAAAACAATTGGCTATACCAAGTATTGGTGAGGATATGGAGTAACTGGAACTTTTATATACTGCTGGTGGAAATGTAAAATGATACAGCCGCTTTGGAAAACAGTTCGGAAGTCTGGACGTTTCTTAAAAGTTAAACATACACTGGTCATATGATGTATGAGTTTAACATACACTCATCATATGATCGTATGATGTAGCCATTCCACCACTAGGTATTTGCCCAAGTAAACATATATTCATACAAAGATATATACATGGATGTGCATAGCAGCTTTATTTGTAATACTGAAAAAGCAAAACAGTGGAGAGTGATGGCTATAATGATAACCTTGATTGTGGTGGTGCTTTCATGGTTGAATACATATGTCAAAATGTATCAAAATGAACAATTTAATTACATATAGTTTATTGTATGTCAATAATACCTCAATAAGGCTTTTAAAAAAAATGCACACACCATTTAACCTGGCATTTCCAATTGAGGAATCCATTGTACAGAAATGTTTGCAAATGTGTGAAATTATATTTGCCTAAGGTTACCTATTATACCAGTTAACAATATCAAAGACTGGACACAAATTAAGTGTTCATCAGTAAGGAATTTGATAAATAAAGCATGTTTCACAGTTGAATATGAGGCAGGCATAATAAAGAATATTTATTTTTAGTAGAGATGGGGTTTCACTATTCTGGCCAGGCTGGTCTCCAACTCCTGACCTCAGATGATCCGCCCACCTCAGCCTCCCAAAGTGCTGGTATTACAGGCAGGAGCCACCATGCCTGGTCGGATAAAATGATTATTATGTGACCCTGTCACTCAATTAAGGGACGACAGCTTTTATTCTCAAATCTTCGTTATGATACATACAGTTAGCTAAAACTCTTAATTCTTTAAATATTTAATAAATATTTATTAGATCTCTGGGAAAATATTCAAGCAATTCAGTTGTACTAACTATTGCTTGTTTTCTACTCCAGCAGTGATCCTTTCCATCCCACTGGCCACAAACAGACCCTAAAAGCATCTTACTTGCAGATGTGTTTTCTCTCACTTTCCTTCCCACCATTCCTTTCTTTCTGCCTCCTTCTGTTTTCTTTTCATAAACTATGAAATATCACACTATGCCACAGATTTGTAGTGGCCTCTGGGATACTACATTTTTGGTACAGTAGCTCTCCATATGGCAGAGAAAAAAAGACTGATTTCTATGCATTCCGTCTGGTGTTCACAGGATCTCAATGTATCTCTATTAGGAGCTTTTAAAATCAGTACAAGAAAACTCATGCTTATCCCAGCATGAATCAACATGTCAAAGAATGTCGACAAACATAAAAAAGAAAAATTAATATTTAAAAGGTCTATTCATTAATTCCATGTATATTTTAGAATGGCTTACCTTTAAGAGGCCACTAAAACCATTTTCCACTAAATCTTAGGTTTTGATGATGGTGGTCGTGGTGGTGGTTGTTATGCTTGTTTTAAGAAGCATTTCTAGCGTGACTCATTGTATTAGCTGGGCAGTTAATTGTTCTGATTGCCAAGATTGACAACTACATTGGATTTTAAAATTTTTAAAAATTTGGTGGCTGGGTGCGGTGCCTCACGCCTGTAATCCCAGCACTTTACAAGGCTGAGGAGGGCAATCACTTGAGGTCAGGAGTTTGAGACCAGCCTGGCCAACGTGGTGAAACACCATCTCTATTAAAAATACAACAATTACCTTGGCATGGTGGCACATGCCTCTAGGTTGCAGTGAGCCAAAATCATTCCAGTGCACTCTAGCCTGGGTGATGGAGTGAGACTCTGTCTTTAAAAAAAAAAAAAAAAGGTATCTTTTCTTTCTTGATAATGTACTATAACATTCAAAGAATCACAGGTTGGAAGGATGCAATATTCTTATTCTTTACAAGAGACTTTTTCCTGCCACTTTGTTTTTATAATGACTGTAGCCAAAAATAGTAGGATATTATGTAACTTCAATGTATAGAATGCTAAATACATCTTCAGTACAAATCTTTTTTCATAAACCTGCTTTTTTTTCACACAAATGGTAGCTCCATGACTGCAGCATTTGCAAGTGAACGATAAAGTTCCAAATGGTGGTTTAACAACAGTATAACAGGTCCACATAAATAGATTTGGTTAAGGAAGCAAAAAGTTGTATGTAGTCCAATACACATAGTCAAACCATTGGGGAAAAAATTAAACAACATTAAAAACTTCAAATAAGCTCTTTTTTTTGTTTCTGGTTGCAACCGATGTTTACCCGGCCCTCCACAATTGTAAACACAAAACATGTTTTCACCCAAAACAAAATGACCCACAAAAAATAATTAAGTCGGCTTCCAAGAGACCATGGCCATCCGTCAGCTGAGAGTGAGCCAAGACACGTGACTGCTGAGGCCAGGGCCTGGCACACAGTGACTCATGGTGAATATGTATTGAATGGATTAAAAATGGGAGGGTTTTTTTTAATGTGGAGGAAAATTGGCAGAGTTAACTGGGAAGCAGTATGATTTTTCAATCCAGAGAGTTTTTAAAATCTAGAATTCTAATAATAAAGATGTTTTGTTTCCTTTTACATATATATTATAGGCTATGAATGACATGTAAAAATGTATACATTAAGCATTTCAGAAACTTGAATGAAACTCTCTGTATCAGATCACTCGTGAGACAGTGAGAGCCAAAGCTGACGTATATTAAATAAAGTCAATAACTACTTCTCATCAAAACCTTGTGAAGTAAGTATTATTTAAAATAGGTATTATTTATTCCCATCCCAAACAAGAAAATTTAGACTTAGGGAAGCTCCATGACTTAAAGGTCACATATCTATAGCAAGTGGCAAATGGCTCTAATCAAATAACTCCAAAGGTTGAATTCTTCAAACTATAGCACTTATCTTCCATTCCCTCATAGCCAATCTGTTCCTCCTCTGTATGTCCATACCATTTACAATTGCTCACAATCATTTAGCTCTGCTGACACAGCCTGTAATTGTGTATCATTTTATCTATTTACTATTTTATTAATTTCTGTTCTTTTCATTTTGCTCTTTTCTTATGTGTCTTTTGTCTTTACTCTGTTTTCATTTTTTCCAACTTGCTAAGTTTAATGCTTAGTTTTTCACAATCTTTTTCATATTATAATACAAGAACTTAAAGCCATGAATTTCCCTATAGTACTGCTTTAGCTGCATTCCACAAGTTTTGATATAGAGTACAGTTGCCTCTCAGTATCCATGGGAGCTTGGTTCCAGGACCCATATGGACACCAACATGCTCAAGTCTCTGATATAATATGCATGGTATTTGCATATAATCTCTGCACATCCTCCCATATATTTTAAAGCATCTCTAGATTATTTATATTAGTATAATAATACAGTGTAAATGTTATGTAAATGGTTACTATGCTGTGTTTTTTAGGGAATAATGACAAGGAAAAAGTCTGTACATAAATGAAATGCTTTTAAAAATATTCTTGATCTGTGATTGGTTGAATCCATGGATGTGAAACTCACAGGTACAGAGGACTGACTGTACTTTGACTGCTGCTTTATAATATTTTACAAATTTCATTTTAACCAATTGATTGTATGGAGTATATCTTTTTTCTCAAAAGAGTATCTTATCATCTTTTTATTATTGATTAATAATCCAATTACAATGTTATCTGATAAAATGGATTATATAATAACAGTTTTGAGTGTATGAAGACTTCTTTTATTATCTTATACATGTTTAGTTCCAGTAATTATCCGTACATCTTCAAACATCAGCATAAGAGGTCTTGACAGGCCACTTAGTGTTTATCTCCATCTCAGACTGTGAAAGATAGATAAATAGGTAAGTCCTCGCCAAGGATTGTTTTTATAATTTCATTGAAAATTCTCTAATAATATATCTGCTTTGGTGAAAAGGGAGATTCAATAAATAGGGAAAACAACAGCATCAAAGCAAACGTTTATGTTTGTGCAGTGAGTAGATTTCAGTTCAATATGTAACTAACATCATAGCTTCATAAATTAAATCTATGGGCATTTAGAGTTATGCTACAATAGAAATACCTCCTTTTGGAAGAGTAGATAGAAGACAGATAGAAGATGGATAGATAGATGATAGATAGGTAGATAGATAGATAGATAGATAGATAGATAGATAGACTCTCAACAGGTTTTGCTTTGTAAAAATATATCCACACTCCAGGCTCCTGACTCATGCATGTAACATACTGAGAATATTCGCAGCTCAAACTATCTGACCAGCAGGTGGCACATGCCTACCTGCTAGGGAGTACAAATAACCAGTAACTGACTTTCTTACAATAAGCTGTTGTGAACAGCTGTGACTGCTCAGATTCAAATTTTTGTATTACTTTTGTTTTAACTAAAGATTTCTTTGCCCTTTCTTCTGCTTAGAGTACTACTTCAATCAAATAGAAGAAGGATCCTGTTTTAAAAAGAATTAATGGCATTTATTCTTTAATGTATTATGCTTCATCAAACTCTATTCCTAAGATACTCAATGGAATAAGATTATTATTTATAATAAGTTAAGCTTATATTCTTAAATAAAAAATTAAATCAATACTATAATAATATAAATTTAATCGTAATTGGCTGAAAAATTTATTGGATTTCCTTTGGAGATTAGAGATGTTTAACATGATAACCAAGGATCCTAAAAAAGGATTAATAAAGGGGCTTCAAAGGTCCCATGAATCCCGCAAAATTATGTGCAAAATGTTGTTCGTGGGAGAGTTTTTTCTGATAAGAGGTGTAGTTTTTATTATTAAATTTTTCAGAACAAAAAATAAGTTAAAAACACAAAAAAAGACAGTGGTAGACATATTTCTTTAAATTACTATAAATTATAATATAAAGAAACATACAGAATTTGGAAATTTTCTATTCTTTTCTCTTGCACGTGTGTAGTGCCCCTCTAAAATGTTATTTTTTTCTTTTAAATGAATGTATGTTATAATCAAGTTAATTTCAAGAAGCATGAAGTATTTATCATTTTCCAAATGGGTAATTCTCTTTGATCCTTTTTGTAACAAATATACAGTAGTTTAATTCTTTTAACTTGTATTAAACTTAGTCATCTCAAAATTTCCAGGTACACAGCATTTAGTTAAAGGTCTTTTCCAGTTTTATTTAAGTAGTCTTTTTGCTTTTTTCTCTCTCACACTGAGTCAAAAACTTGATTAAAAATAAGATTTTATAAACCACTTGAGATTTTTTTTTTTCAATGAGAGAATCCCCTCCCCACCCCCGCCCAACATGAAATCCCAGAAGATAGCATATAAGAAAACTTCTATTGAAGGTAAGAAAAGACTAATCTAGTATTTGGGGAAGTTATACATATATATACATATATGTATATATATAGAGATACACATATATATATATATATATATATATATATGTATAACTTCCCCAAATACTAGATTAGTCTTTTACATTTTTATAAAATATAATATTATATATATCTCTCTATATATACACATATATATGTGTATATATATACATTTATATATACATACATACACACACACATGTTATTGGAGAAAGGTTTTTTGTGGTTTAATCTAGATATGGGGAGGAAATTGCAAGGCTCATATCCAAAGGAAGAATGTAATCAGAGAAGAATGAAGAAATCTTTGTTGTCAAGAAAATTGACAAAACTCTCCCTGACCCTCTCCCTTCTCTCAGAGGAAGGCTTTAAATCAACAGGTCTTAGTCAAGTTAATTAATTGCAAGCAACCAAAGCTGATTCTGGTTTATTTAAGCAGAAAATTGATTAAATTAATTACATATTGGGTTGCTCCCAGAATCATTGGGAGTTCAAGAGAACCAGTCTCAGAGTCAATGAAGTTGAGACAGTGAAGTCAAAATGCCTCAAAATCACACCTCAGGACTGGTCTAATGAGTACACCAATGAATATTAGATGTTGCCCTTACATTGTTGCTATTACCAGAGAAACTACTCAATACTGACCCTAGAACACTTCCATTATTGTACTTGGAAAATTGACTCCCATGTAGCACCACAGACCAGACTGCCATTTTTGCTACGCGTTGTCATCATTTTCACCACCTCAACTGTCATTTCTTCACCATTGCCACCACTGCCTACACCAATTACATCACTGCCATCACTAGCGAAGACAAACTACTCTAGTCTATTTATCTTGGGACATTCGGGTAAGAGCAGGTGTCTATTCCTCAGATTCAAGGAAAGCTGGAAAATTGAAAATAAAGAATTTATTAGCATTTATATTGAGAAATGGGGTGTGTCTCCCACCAAAATTTACAAAGTAAGAATAATCCAATGTAGAAAAGAATTATAGCACTTGGCATACAAAAAATATCTAGTTCTTTTCCTATTAACACTTCCTAATATACATTTGGATGTATAAAACTACCTGTGTGATCACATGTGGCACATTATAACTATGCCTTGCACATCAAATATACACTCATTTCTTCCACAAAGACTTACCAGTTACCACATTCAGTTTCAAGATCTCTGGGGAATGGCTATTCCTTTTTTATTCCAACATAATTCTGTATTGATAATCTTTAAAGTATGAACTAACATTAAATAATGTGAAAGGGAAGAAAAGAGAGTAATTATCAGAGAGATAATTATCAGAGTGTGTGTGTGTGTGTGTGTGTGTGTGCATATGACTGCAAGAAAAAAATGCAGGTATTCTCTACTTTGTATCTATAACTGGTTATAAGGCTATAGTTGGTATTGATAATCTCCGTATCTCATTAATTATCTCATTTACTTGTTTCTTTTTTTTTCCTTTAGCTAACATCTAATCTGGTCTGAGTTTATTGCCTAAGTTTATGGCCTACAACTTCATTTCTTAGAAACCAACTCCTGGAAGTCCTGCCTCTATGATACCGCTTTTTATTCTGCTTAATAAACACGGATGTACCGGAGATCTCCTGGGCTCTATTCATACTCTTTTCCATTCCTGCTTATAGTAGCAAACCTGTTTCCTGTTGAGAGTCAGGCTGTCACCCAAGCCCACACCACAATCCTGAGAATATTTTTGTCTTTCATTAAATGCCATTTGGAGTCTAGAATTGTCTGGCAGCAAGCTCAGATTCCAATTCAATGGAACTCTTATAGGATCTCTAGTCAAAGCGTTCCTCCATGGATTCTCAAACATGTGGACAAGAAGATCCCAGAGTTGTATAAAAGCAAATACTGTGACTATGAAAGAGAATGCACCATTTAATGAGTTCAGAGGATATTAGGCATCTTACAGGAGAACACCTCACCCTCACAAGAATTTGTCTCCAGGCTTGCAGTGTAATTGAGTCTTCTACTGTTTTATACGACAACAGCCTCTCAACATTGCAAGCCTACAACATTGAGATTGCAGTAAACCTAATCTTGTGCAAATCAGCCTATTGCACCACAAACATGTATCTACTGAATACCAGCTGACTGAAAGGTCTCAAAATGCCAGCTAAGAATTATCTGTCCAGGCCAGGCACTGTGGCTTATGCTTGTAATCACAGCACTTTGGGAGGCCGAGGTGAGTGGATCACCTGAGGTCAGGAGTTCAAGACCAGCCTGGCCAACATGGTGAAACCCCATCTCTACTAAAAATACAAAAATTAGCCCGGTGTGGTAGCAGGTGCCTGTAATCTCAGCTACTTGGGAGGCTGAGGCAGGAGAATCGCTTGAACCTGGGAGTCAGAGGTTGCAGTGAGTTCAGAGTGTGCCATTGCACTCCAGCCTGAGCAACAAGAGCAGAACTCTGTCTCAAAAAAAAAAAAAAAAATTATCTGTCCAGCTTGTAGTCAACACCTTCTAATCCAACAGATCCATCTCAAAAAAAAAAAAAAAAAGAATTATCTGTCCAGCTGCTGGTAGTCACACCTTCTAATTCAACAGATCCATTCCTTTGTTAGCTAGTTAAAAGTTGACTGCCTTGAGTACTAATACATTGAACCTTCATGACCATCATGGTATACCACATAAAATTGCTTCTGTCCAAGGAACTTATCTTACAGGAGAGAAAACAATGAAGTAGAGGCCAGAGACAGACAGAGGGATAGAAAGCAAATATAAATGGATTATTAGTTTTAATTGTGATAACAGATCTTGGACTTGTGTTGTTATGATATTACATAAGCCTCAAGAAAATTAAATGCCTAGAGAAATGTAACAGGATAATAATAACCATAGATTGATTGAGTTTACCCTAAATTTACAAGATTAGATTCCCCACGACTGGGCAGAAAAGGAACTTGGGACTGAAACTAAGTTCAGTTATAGAAAATTTGTCTTTTGGTACATACATTTTGTAGAGTGGAAAATTTGTTCCTTCTCTATATTAGCAGTTTAGAATATGATGCCTTCTTAACAGACAGAATTTCTCCCAGTCATGCTTACTTGCATAAGTCAGTTGCAAACATCAAGTTTAAGTGATTAATAATGTAAAACTTCTTCTGGATGTAAGGGTGATATTAATTACCCTAAACTGTATTAATTTCTGGAGACCTGGGACTAGACTGTGTCTTAGTCACTTCTTTATTTACTCTTAGCACCTACAATAGTACCATTAGCATAGAATAAATTCTTTAAAAATGTTAATGAATGAATGAACTAGGAAGAAACACCCTGGAAGAATGATTTTGTTAGTTGTGCACATCAAAAGTAATGAACTGTTCCACCCACCCCATTATCTTACACACATAACTTAACTCAGAGAAAATTAAGCTCATTCAAAGTAAGAGCATTTCTTAAATTAAACCATAAGTCAGTAGGCTTCTTTCTCCCTAGCTCCTGTCGCTCATTATCAAGTCTGGAATTTAGGCGGGAAAATATAACCATAAGCCACTTGATGAAAAGGCTAATATTGTTAAGTCCAGTGTCTTAAAATGGTAGCCTAATGACCCATAAACGCTGAAGCTTGGGACATCCACTTAATACTTTCTTTACAAGGCAAAATGAATTTCTTACTTCCTGCTTTGATTTTGGCATTAAGTAGCACTATGTAACTGTACCTAAAATAGATGGAAAATACATGCCTTGTTCCAAGACTCGGTTTTATTGCAAGATGGTGTCTTGAAAAGTTTTACTCATTATGCCTTTTTATATTGTCCCTAACAAGGAATTGTAGGAAATTACACAAGTCATTCTCTCTATCTTAAATAGCAGGAAATGTTAACACAGAGGTTTACATGGAGAATATTTCTGTTCCATGTTATGACACTTGCTTCAAGGGACCCCCATAGATGTGTCTTGAGGAAACTTCCTAAATGAGGAGGAAATTGAGATAAAATTAATGTTTGAATCAAAAGAGATATTTGTATGTGAACATGTGTTTCTACAGTAATGTACTAAAAGTAGTTAGAGAAATATTGTGCAAGTGCCATAGTGGTAGTTGCAGATGACAAAGTGGCATCACAAACAATAGACTCAAATTGCTGATCTCTCACCTATGTTAAAATATGAAAGCCTTTTCCCCCAAAGCCTGCAAGTAACCTACAATTCTCCAGAATAAGTAGACATAGAACAGTTAAGAATATGAGAAGTCGATTTTTAAAGCATTGCATTGTTCTGGGTTTCAATGGTATAATTGAACTCAACTACCACAGGATGTAAATATCAATGACTCTCCCACAACCTCCTTCTCTGTTTCCATTGGAAGTCATTAATTAACACATCTCAGAGAACTTTTATGACTCAGAATCTAAGCAGAGTCCTAAAAACTATTATTTGGTGGAAGGACTAGGAAAATACAACAGTTGTCATGGTAAGAAGGATTAGAAATCCACCCATTTATGGAAAAAAAATCTAAACAAGTGATACATTTAAGTCTTGCCTACAGAGCATTATAAATTTATGACAAAATTAGCCTATATTAGCAGAAAAATTCTACTTCTCTAATCATGAAATTGGCATTTTCAAAAAGTATGTGTAAGGTTTTGTAGTGTAAAGTCAGCATTACAAATGTATGACAAAATCAGCCTGTATTAGCAGAAAAATTCTACTTCTCTAATCAGGAAATTGCCATTTTCAAAAAGTATGTCTAAGTTTTTGTAGTGTAAAGTCAAGTTTGGGAGTATACATGAAACCAGAAAACCATTTGTCTTCATGTCAGAATCTTGAGGGAGAAATTAAAACTGGAAACCTAAATTTAAGAATCTTCTCCCTAAAGCTTGTTAGGCACTTTATATGAATATCAGCTATCAGGTTACCTTAGGTGCAGGTGCAATACCTATCTCTACCCTCCTTCGGCTTGTACCATTCCCTTTATCTGAATGGCCTATATTCATCTACCAAAATCTTATCCTCTTATCTTCCATCTCAAATGCCACCTTCTTCATACTTTTCCTAGTGGTAATAAAGACTTAGATATGGACATATCTTAGAAATATACTGTCAGCTCTCCTAACACTTTATTTTTACATTTGACATGATAATTATTATGCATTCTGCCTTCTATTTTAGTTATTTGAGTAATATCTTGAAGCCTTCTTATGGATCAGGGATTCTCAAACTTTTTATCATCTGGGTCACTTGTAAAATATTCAAATTGTTGTGGTGGGGCCTTGGAATTTGCCCTTTCAATATGTTCCCTTTGTTCTTTTTTATTATTCTTAATGTCCAAAAATTTTCCTATTTTATCTATAGCCAAATCACAAGCTCTCTCTTAAAAACATTTTGGCTATATTCCAGTGGTTTAAAAAATTTTTCCATGTTCTCCATTCTACCTTCTATCATTTTGGTCAATTTGAATATTAATAAGATTGAATAGGCTGCAGTAACAAGTAAACCCTCAAATCTTAGTAACAACACAGTAAAGTTTTCCTTTCCCCTCATACCACAATCCTGTGCAAATCAGGTATTCCACCTCTATATTTTATCCATGCCATCTGAAACATATGACTTACAAGTTTCTTATGGAATGGGCATATGCCACTTCTCATATTTCATTGGCCAGAACTAATCATATGGTCCAAACTTACTGCAAGGAAGGTGAGAAAATAGAAGATATTTGGTGTGCACTAAGAATCTCTGACCAGATTAAAATGCCAGTTGCTTGGCTTTTAAAAATATCCTACAACTACTCCAACTCCAAATGTCCAAAAGAAGTTTTACCCACATGATAATCATCATAATAGCTATCATTCCATGAGCATTTACTACATTATCATGGTAAGTGCAATGAAAGATTATCTAATTTAATTCTTTCAACAACACTGTGAGGTAGGTATTATTAGTTACAATTTTTGAAAGGCACTGAAATTTAGAAAGGTATGGTAACATAACTTGCCCTAATATACAAAGCTTATAAGTTGTGAAGCCAGCTATTAAACAAAGCCTCTATCTCAAAAGCTAATTTTCTTAAGGAACTGCTTTCTATTTCCTTGGAAACCACTCTCCCATACTGGTCTTTATAAGCCACAAATTTGATATTGCTATCCATTGATTTTAGAACCCAGTCTAAAATGTCCTATGTGGCACAAAAAGCCTTGCCCAACATGTTTTTGTTTTTGTTTTCTATTTTAACTCTCTGGCCTATTGTATTATAATCACATCTCTTTAGCAATTTTATTTTAGCCATGCTAAGCAATGTGCACTTCCATTCTAGCTCTGAGTTTTTTCTCACTTTAATCACTCTTCCTGCCATACTCGTTATCCAGGTAATTCCTATATATATATGTGTGTGTGTGTGTGTGTGTGTGTGTGTGTGTGTGTGTGTATATATGTCAGTCATACTTTAGATATTACATTTATTGAAAAATATGAAAATGTAAAGAAGAGTTGTAAAAATTGAGGGAAAGTCAACATGATGAATCACTACATTCAGTCAGCAAAACATCCAGCATTCAACAACGTTCATGGGAAAAAAATGAATGAGCAGAAGAATATATTTAAATACGTTAAAACATAATGTCTGAAAAGAAATCTTTAAAAGCTATGACAGTCATAAAACGTTAACGAATTTTTAGGAAAGGGAGTTTAGGAAACTATAAAAAGTGATTGTTAAAATAGAAAAAATACAACAAATTGAGTTAATAGCAATATAAGTATCAGTAAAGATTACATTCTTAAGATGCAAGACGAAGTAAAGGAATCCCCCCAGAATGCAGTTTAAAAAAATAACTTCAATTTCATTATATCATTTAAAAAATAACATCGGCTGGGCGCTGTGGCTCATGTCTGTAATCCCAGCACTTTGGGAGGCAAAAGTGGGTGGATCACTTGAGGTCAGGAATTCCAGACCAGTCTGGGTAACATGGTGAAATCCCATCTCTTCTGAAAATACAAAAGTAGCCAAGCATAATGCTACACTCCTGCTACTCAGGAGACTGAGGCAGGAGAATCACCTGAACCCCAGAGGCAGAGGCTGCAGTGTGCCAAGATCGTGCCACTGCACTCCAGTCTGGGTGACAGAGTGAGACCCTGTCTCAAAAAAAAAAAAAAAGTAACAATAATTTTAATATATCGTCTTATTTACAGTTAGGTCACATATAACCATTGTCTTGTTTTTTCTTTAGTTTGTTGGAATCAGTGAACAAAACAGGTGTTCTAGTTGTTTGATAAGCCTCTTAAGTCTCTTGTATTCTATAGTTTTCCCTTTGTATTTTTTCTTGTGATTTTTTTTCAGGAGGAGGGGAGTTGTTGCTATTGAAAGAATTGGGTTTTTTGTCTTATAGAGTTTTTCACAGTGTTCGTTTCATTAAATGCATCTCTGCTTTATCTGTTAAAGTATTCATAGTTGGATCTAATGGCTTGATCAGATTCATTTTCATTTTTCATTTTTATGGTAAGAGTCCTGATAAGTGATATTGTAGATTTTCATTAGGGTGTACATAATGCCTGTTACGTTATGTTAGCAACCATTGATTACAACTACTCCAACTCCAAACATCCAAAAGATTTACCTGCATGGTAATCATCGTAATAGTTATCATTCCTTGAGCATTTACTACATTACCCAATGCATTTAATTAACAAAATTTTTCAAAATGGCAATAATTTTTTGTTATCAGAAGCATATAAATAAATAAATAGATTGAAACATTCCTATTTCAAATATTTGGTCACCTGTTGTACAGTTTAGATACGAAAGGTATGATAAATGCTTGATTTTTACTCTTTATTTGCCTGTTTTTTCAAATAATGAGTTCCTTAGCAATCTCCAAAGTTAACAAGTAATTTTGTGCATGTCACTGCATACATAGGGATTGAAACAGTCTCAGTTCAATCTGCTGAAGATACTGGATTTATTGTAACCACTTTTTCTCATCTTTTGACTAGATGTTTATTCGACTTGTCTACTGAGTTCTTTTTGACGTAACTCCAGTAGTCTTTGACAGCTTCTTTGCTTTCTGGTCTGAAAACATGTTTTAGGCTCATCTTATACATTTTCTTTTCCCAGAAGTAGAAGGAACATGGTGAGAACCATCTAATAGCTATGGGAATAAAACTATCAAATTTGGCTGAAAGGTGTAAAAGAAGCCCCAACTAAATAGATACATTTTACTTTTGCCAATAAATTAAAATGCAATTTTTGAAATTACGAATCCATTGAAATTTTAGTAAAATACCAGCAGGGATTTGGGATTCTAAATTTCACAAAGAAGAGGAAACATGCATGAATACCTAAGCCTTATGAAAATTATTCATAAAAAGTCTATTATTTATATTATTATCTTATGTTTATGATACGTACCAATAATAAATGTTAATGTTTATGAAGGCTCTGCTAATTAAAGCCAACAAAAAATACTGTGTTGGCAAAATAATTCATTTGAAAAAATCTGTCTTAATGAAAATAGTTTATGTTAAAATTGACAATTCAAATCAATATGGAAAAGATCATTTATTTAATAAATGCTATTAAGAGAATTAGCAATCAAGTTGGAAAAAAATAATCCCTGTGTTGGAAGTAAATGTTCAGTGCCACCAAGTGAAAATAGCACTCAGGCAAAAGTTTTCTCAGCAAAGCAATTTCCTTCTATAGAAGAGTGTGTCTCACAGATGGAGTAATGGCAAGAGCACACCAGACAAGGCAGGGAAAGGGGTTCTTGTCCTAATGCAGCTAGTCGCTACTGCTGTGTCTTTCCCCTATTGTCTAGGGTTAGACTGCACAGTCTAAGCTAATTCTGGTTGGCTATTTTAAATAGAGCAGGGATATGAGCCGGAGTGGCAGGGTGAATAGTTTCGAATGGTTACAGAGGAGGTGACTAAGGATGACTAAGGACAGAGCAGGTGATAGAGGCTAGGAGGGGGTTGTTTACTGAAACTAGGGGCAAATGTAAAGAATGAGAAAGTTAAACTTTAAAATGGAGAACAAAGAACAGGGAAGCCGAACATACTGACATATTGGCTGTTTGAAGAGGAACTCAGAACTCATTGTACTTAACGATTTTCCTCTCTTGGATTTTAAAGTAAGTTAACAGGCTAAAACCTTTGAAGAGGAATTTTACTGTATCCTACAATCTTCCCCCTTTCAATTTTCATAGTCTTTCCTCTTCAAACCTTTTTAACATATCTTGGTTTTGCTGCTTGACTTGATCCATAAAAGAAAAGCTTATCTGAATAAGGTGGAGGAGAGTTAAGGGAGGTTTTAGTAAGTGCTGTTTCTGTAAGTCTTTGCACCAGCCCACGGATGCACGGTATGACACAACACCCAACAAGAACGAGTACACCTGTTACGGCTGCAAGAGAAGTAAGAATTGAGGCTATGATTCTTTTCCGTTTACCAAGCCACCTTTCTAGCCATCCTGAGAAAGTGTTGTCGACTCCAGAATTTTTAGCTAATTCATTGGATTAAAGCGGTAAGTCCTTGTAAGGCCCTTGTTACTGCGGAGGCAGTGTTGTTTGGGATAAAGGTACAATGCTGAGTTTAATCATAACACAAACACCACCTTTTTCAGCTAGTATCATATCTAGAGCCATTCTGCTTTCCCAGACCATCTGGCTAGTCAACCCCAATTGTTGGGCTATCCCTTTAACAGCATCCCTGGTGTATTTAATAAACCTCTGCTGATTATAATAGATATAATTTATCCAATCTATGTTTTTATTGTCACCCACGAAAATATTGACTCAGATTCTGTAGCTATTTGATCTCGAGCTTTAAATTTATCTAGTACTCCTCGTGGGACTCCAGTTGCATCTAAATAAACGTGGGAGTCAAAAGACTCATAAGAAGCTTCCTTTGCTTTACAATGTTGTTTTTCCTTTTCCTGGTTGATGAAATGCCAGGGTGAAAGGGATAGCCAATTGGACTAGAGCACAAGTGCCACTGCAGTTACTTGGTAGAGTGTCCAGTAGAGGTCTGCCACGATACCACCATACATCTGCTCAGGGGTGAATAAGGGCTGACTGATTGGTAAGCTCTTGGAAAGTCTTAAGCGCACTGCATCCTTTTAGGTCTCCAAGGAACACAAAGTTTCCTCCTTGTCATGAGAGACCCGAAGTGAACTTAGTTTCTGGAGATGGAAGTTCAATGGCCCTCAGGGGCTGACCCGCAGGGTGTTGAACTTCGGGATATAGCAGAGAGACAGTTTGACATGACTTGTTATCCCAAGCTGTGGAACCATGGAAAAGAGCTACTATACAGCCCATGCCTGATTGACTGAAGGAACATCCTAGTGGAAAGGGGAATCTGGGCCTCTGGCCTGCCGTGCACACAAGCATAACAACTGCTTTTGTTTAAAGTGCGGATGGAATCTTTGATCCATTCCAACCAGGCATTAGCATCTTGATGTCCTGTCTCAATTGCCAAAGATTGTTTTAGGTCTTTAACTTCTACAATAGCTACCTTGGTCTTGTCATTACATGGAGGAGGAAAAACAGTTTCATTGTGAGAGGTTTTGGAAGAAGGCGTAGGGGAAAGTGTAGGCGGTGGGGGATCAATGAAGCGTATTTATTTCAAAGGATCAGATAGTCTGTTCCTGAAGCCTCAGCCCCCATACCATAAAACCGGCTTAAAGAAGGGAGCCAGCTTAGAGAAGGGGAAGAACTTTGAGGGTTTGAGATAATAACCTGTATTGGATAGTACTGGTTTAGCTGACAGCTAGGGGAAGCTGTTCTTTTAGTAGTAAATGTATAGCTTTAGGAAATTACAACTACTGGTTGGGGCAGTCCATCCTTGCTCTTTAGTGGTCCACAGAACATTGGACCAGTTGCAGCATAAAGGCTCTGTCTCGGGGGGGCAAGACTTCCAGTTGACACTGGGGTCTTCATCGAAACCTCTCCAGGCTAAATGATCCCGATTTACTAATGCCCAGTCTGAGTAGAGCCAGGAAGGACAGAGGTACTTTTTTGAGTGGAGAGCTGTCTTTGACTTGAGAAGTCTCCACAGGGTATAACAAGGCAAGCATTAAATGTAATAGTTTGAGGCAAAATTTACTTGGTTGCATTAATAACGAGGTGGTCAGCAATAGAGTGAGGAAAGAAGAAGGAGTAATAGAATAGATGAAAGAGAGTTAACTTTTTCTTAGCTTTAGTTTGGTGGGGTTTTCCCCTGGGACTATGGCCCATGACTCTGGAGAGGGTGGTGCTTTCTTGACTAGGGTGTGATGGGTCTATCCTTTTTCTGCTGTCCAAACTGCACTTTCAGTAGTTAGGAGCACTAGGTAAGGTCCTTCCTAGGCCGGTTCAAGCATTTTCTTCTCTCCAGCTTTTGATGAGGACGTGGTCCCCAGGCAGATGTTGGTGTACTGGAAACTCTAAGGGTGGCACTTGTGCTAAAAGACCTTTAGTTCTGAGGGAAGACAAAGTGGAAGATAAACCAAGTATATAATTTCTGAGAAACTGATCTTTTTTTCAAATGGAGGAAGATCAGTAGTAGAATGTAGATAAGGCAATCCATAAAGCTTCTCTTAAGGGGGTAGTTCTATGTCTTTTCAGGGAGCATTTCGGACTCTCAACAGGGCAATAGGCCTTTCTACTTTCCCTGATGAGGGAAAGATGCCATGGCATGTGGTATTCCCATTTTCTTTAGGGTTTGTTTGTTGGTTTTTCTACACACTATGCAACTATCTGCAACTTGTCTAGCAAGGGTATAAATTCCTATGCATCCATAAACTGTAAGGACTGCATCACACATAGGCTGGGGGCCCCAGTGAGGTCCTCGATGTAGCTGTGACAATATCTCTCACATGAGGGGCTTAGACAGCCTTTCTCTCTTGTCTGGTAGTATCCATTTTCCCTCGTGGTTTTCTTTGGCTCCTGTTTCTTTTAGCTTTTCTTACGCTCTGGGGGAGAAGATAGGAACTACAGCTGGAGGGGGAAGATAAGGGGTTAGGTGGAAAATGGGTGCGGCTTGAGAAGAGGCAGCTTATTTGGCTACTCGGTCAGCTAGGTTATCCTTGGCTCCCTAAGGAAAGATTCTTCTAGTGACCTGGAACATGAACAACTGCTATCTCTTCTGGCAGCTGTAAGTTCTCTAGTACTTGGATTATTAAGTCTCAGTGGACTAAGTTTTGACCTTTACTGTTAATGAGGCCTCACTCTGCCCAAATTTTCAAAGGTGTGGACTACTCCAAAGGCATACTTGGAGTCAGTATGAATAGTTCCTTTCTGATTTTGAAGAAATTTTAAGGCTTGATTTAGTGCAAACAACTCATGTTTGCACAGACCAGTTTTAGGTAATCTTCCTGATTCTATTTCTGTGAGGGTGTCTCTGTCTACTACTGAGTACCTGTTGTGCCTTTTCCCTTTTATTACTTGAGAAGAACCATCTACAAAAAGGTGTCTTCCGGTTTGAAAGGGAGTTCCATTTAAGTCTGGTCTAACTTTTGTCTGATAGGCAATAATATCTAATCATCTATGCCCAAGTTCTGGTCTGGGGCATGGGTTTTTTCTGGGTTTGGATTTCCTGTTAAGAAGGAAACAGTGAATCATCAGTGGTTAGGGTTAAATCATCTTTTTTTTTTTTAACAAGATAGCCTTGTATTTTAAAATTCTTGACTCAGTAAGCCATCTTTCTGCCTTCTGACTTAATGATAGTTCTGACCTGATGAGGTGTGTTCACAGTGAGGTTTCCTCCAAAAGTTATTTTTCTACTTTTTTCTGTTAGCAAAGCAGTTGCCACTACAGATTGAATGCATTCGGGCCATCCGCTGGCTACTGGGTCAAGGATTTTTGATAGAAAGGCTACGGGTTACTGATGGCCTTCGTGCTTTTGGGTAAGTACTCCTAAGGCTACGCCTTTTTTTACGTTGACAAAAAGATGGAATGGCTGCTCTAAGGAGGGTAAAGCTAGGACAGGGGCAGTTACTAATAGGTGTTTTAACCTTTCCACCTGTTGGATTTTTGGTAATTGCCAAACAAGGGGGTCTGGCTCGTCTTGCATAAGCTTTTTGTATAAGGGTTTTGTTTCTAGGGCATAAGAGTCTATCGATAGATGACAGTATCTAGCTAATCCAAAAAATTTTCTAAGTTCTTTAGTCTCCGGCAGAGGCAAGGATATGATGCCTTCAATCTGTTCAAGCCCGGTTTTCGTTTACCTTTGCTAATTAAATGCCCTAAATATTTTACTTTAGTTTCTACAAATTGGAGTTTGTTTTTTGAGACCCCTAGGCCTTCATCCCATAGAAAATTTAAGACATGGGTTGAGAAGGCTGCTACTTCTTCTCTATCATCTCCTGAAATTAGAAGATTATCCAGGTACTGGAGGAGGCATATGCGCAAGGGCAGGGAAAGTTTCTCTAGGACTTGTTCTAATATTTGACTAAATAAATTTGGAGACTCTGTAAACCCCTGGGATAAGACTGTCCATCAGTATTGCTGCTTTGACTGGAGTGAGGGTCTTCCCACTCAAAGTCAAATAGGTCCTGGTTGTCCTCTGCCAACGGACAAGCCCAGAAGACTTTTTTTTTGATGGAGTCTCCCTCTGTTGCCCGGGCTGGAGTGCAGTGGCACCATCTCCGCTCACTGCAAGCTCCGTCTCCCGGGTTCATGCCATTCTCCTGCCTCAGCCTCCTGAGTAGTTGGGACTACAGGTGCCCACCACTACGCCTGGCTAATTTTTTTTGTATTTTTTTAGTAGAGATGGGGTTTCATCGTGTTAGCCAGAATGGTCTCGATCTCCTGACCTCGTGATCTGCCCACCTCGGCCTCCTGAAGTGCTGGGATTACAGGCATAAGCCACCATGCCCGGCCCAGAAGGTATCTTTTAAATCTATGACTATAATCATTGGTGGCTGTATGGGATCCTACTGATAATAGTATAAGGATTGGGAACAACAGGGTATGTAGTTTGGACTATCTGATTAATAGCTCTAAGGTCTTGCACTAACTGGTATGACCCGTTTGGCTTCTTTGCAGTAGTATTGGAGAGTTATAGGGAGATATACAGGGTTCAAGAAGCCCATCACAGAGAAGACCTTCAATTATAGGTTATAAACTTACCCTGGCTTCTCAAGGAATAGGGTATTTCTTTCTCTTTACTACTTCCCCAGGGGTTTTTAATTTAACATGAATCAGAAGAATCTGTAACTTTCCTAGATTCCCGTCTTTTGGCCATGCCTCGGGATGAATGTGTTCTTCATCTGTGGTGGTGAGCAAGTTTAGGGAAGGGAGGAATTTTCCATGATTGATTTGGAGGCCTAAGCCTAATTTTAGCATTAAATCTCTTCCTAATAGATTTGTCCCTGCTTCTGGAATTAACAGAAATTTGATATTAGCTGATTGGTTTTTGTATTTCACTTCTGTCTCCTCTAAGATCTTTCATAGTTCCTTGATGGGCTATATGGTTGTTATTCAACTGAGGATCCTGGGCTGGAAATTTTGTTCAGCTGTTGGGACATTCTGATTGGAAGGGTGTTCATGTTCCCACAAGGTCATAGCAGCCCTGTGTATCATGCTCCTTTCTTCTGCTAAGAAAAAGATGCCTAAGATAGACATTAACTTAGCCCAAGTATATAACTGGGGTCCTAAATCTGATCAATTTGATCTGCCACTTCGTAAGCGTCATCTAAGAGTGGTTTAAGCTCCTTTTGTTTTTAGGTTTCAGACTTTTGAGCTGGTTAAGGGGGTGTTCAGAAAGCCAATGCCCCCTCCTCCAAGAAGCACTTCCCTTAAGGGAAAAAGAGTTTGAGCAAACTCTTGGAGATACTGGGGAAAGGGAAATTTCGGGTATTTTTCTTATTGTTCTATCTCATGTTGAAGTCCCCTTGAGGGGTGACACTCAGGATTATTGGGGAGAGGGTATAACATGAGTAGGGGAACGGTCTGGGGTGGCAGCTGCTTGGGGAGAGGAAGGTTCTTTAGTCCAAATAAAACAGCAGTATTTTATCACTTGCAGCTTTTTCTTGTGTTTGGTCCTTCTGTTATCCTTCCAGTATTCTAACATTAGGCCTAGGAGACTATCAGAGGGGATATTACCATGATCATGATCCTTCCTATCTTTTGTCTTACTTGCTGTATTTCCCATCCTGGAGAAAGTGCTTTTCCCTGAGTCCGCAGGGCTCAATCTCTCTTACTAGAAATTTCTTGCAACCTAGCTAGTCTGCAGGGCTTAACCTCGCCTACTAGAGATTTCTTGCACCCTTCAGCTTTTGCTTGTCCTCCATCTGCTTTCCTTGTGGGAATTTTCAGGTCCCTCTTAGCATAGGCAAGTCAGTATAAACCCCACTAAGGCAAGCCACCTTTAAGCCATATGAGGTGACTGCAGAACGAGATCTAGACTCTGCACTTGCTCTGCACTCAATTGTGTGTCTCACTCACACACTTTCAACTTCCAGGATGTCCTGACCACCAAGGAATACTTCACTGTTCCCGTGGCTTTTCTTACCTTGGTATGTCCTGACCAAGAAATACTTCACTGCCTCTACAGCTTTTCTTATCTTGGTCCCAACCACCAAGAAAATACTTCATCGTCCCTGCCGCTTTTCTTACCTTGGTCTGTGCACAGAGTTACCTGGTCACTGCGGTATTTATTTGTAGGCCTTTTTTTCCCACGTTGCTGAGAGTCTGGGTTTATTCATCACACTGGGTGGGTCTCCATTCCTTGCCCCTGGGGCCACCTCAGTGAGGCAGCAGGACACGTCTCCTCTTAAGAGGTGATCAGAAACTATTCCCCAGAGGAGAATGGGATCCCAGGAGGGCCCCTAAATTTGTTGGAAGTAAATGCTCAGTGCCACCAAGTGAAAATAGCACTCAGGCAAAAGTTTTCTCAGCAAGGCAATTTACTTCTATAGAAGGGTTCATCTCACAGATGAAGCAATGGCGAGAGCACACTGGACAAGGGAGGAGAAGGGGTTCTTATCCTAATGCAGCTAGTCCCTACTGCTGTATTTTTCCCCATTGTCTAGGGTTGGACTGCACAGTCTAAGCTAATTCCGATTGGCTGTTTTAAAGAAAGCAGGGGTATGAGCCAGAGTGGCAGGGTGAATAGTTTCAGTGGGAAGGATGGTTACAGAGGAGGTGACTAGGGATGACTAAGGACAGAGCAGGTGATAGAGGCTAGGAAGGAGTTGTTTACTGAAACTAGGGGCAAAGAGACATAAAGAACGAGGAAATTAAAATGGAGAACAAAGAACAGGGAAGCTGAACATACTGACATATTGGCTCTTTGAAGAGGAACTCAGAACTCATTGTACTTAACGATTTTCCCTTCTTAGATTTTAAAGTAAGTTAACAGGCTAAAACCTTTGAAGAGGAATTTGACTGTATCCTACACCTACCTTATACCCTATTCAAAAAATAAATTGCAAATTGTTCATAGGTCAAATATATAAAATAAGTCTGTAATATTACTAGAAGAAAAAATCTATCTATATGTATATATACATATTTTTTAAATTTTGATGTTCAGGAAGACTTTCTTAGTGAGAAACACTACAGAACAACAACTAAAAATTCCATAAAAATTACTTCTCTCTGTCAAAGTTTATTACAATTAAAATTAAACACAAGCAAAGGACTGAAAGAGACCTTGAAATTAATGTAGTGGAGAAACAGTATTTGTTGTATAGAAAGAGTGACTACAAAAAAGTTTTTAATACACATAAAGGAGAGAAATTCATGAAAGAAATATAATGGCTCATAAGTCTGTAAATAACATTCAAACTGACTAGTAATTGAAAAAATATGAGTGACTACTTTTTACACATAAAATTGAATTAAATTAGGTAAATTGATAGTAACTATTATTATCATGGATGTAGGGGGAATGGGTTCTGAATTTCATTGCTGGTGAGAAAGTAATTTGTATAGCTTTTCAGAAGGCAATTTAATAGTATTGAATATAATTTTAAACAAGACCATTGACCCAGTAATTCCACTCTGGGGAATTTATCCTATAGAAGAAGGCATTTATCAGCCGGGTGCAGTGGCTCACACCTGTAATCCTAGCACTTTGGGAGGCCGAGGCGGGTGGATCACGATGTCAGGAGATCGAGACCATCCTGGCTAACACAGGGAAGCCCCATCTCTACTAAAAAGATACGAAAAATTAGCCGGCTGCAGTGACGGGCGCCTGTAGTCCCAGCTACTCGGGAGGCTGAGGCAGGAGAATGGTGTGAACCCATTCACAGAGGTGGAGCTTGCAGTGAGCCAAAATCGCACCAGTGCACTCCAGCCTGGGCTACAGAGTGAGACTCTGTCTCAAAAAAAAAAAAAAAAAAAAAAAAACGGCATTTATCCAACAGAAATACTTTTATATGCCAACAAAATTTCATGTACAAGGATGTGTGTGCCACTATACTGTTTGTAATACCAACACTAGAAACAAACATCTATCAGTATGGATATAGTTAAATTATACTGCATCCATACTATTCACCAAAACAAATTGGTTAAACAATGAGGTTATCTACATAAGTTTGCAAAGAATTATATGCTAATGATTATTGTTAAGAGAAAGAAAGTCACAGAAAAAAAAACACAAGATGTTCCCATTTATATATTTTTAAAAGCATATAATGTGGAAATATAGATAAAGATGTGTAAATCCATAGCAATTTCTGAATGAACACAAACTAAACTGTAAGTAGTGGATATTCTGAAGGAAATGCTTTGCCAGAGAAATAAGATTTCCTTTTTTGCTCTCTATACTTATTATTTGAGGATTTTTTTTCACAATCAGAATCATGTATTTCTTGAATAATTAGAAACAAAAACAAAATTTTCTCTCTTTTTGATAAAAATGCTCAGAAATGAAGCTTATAATTATTTTACATCTTCAATTTGGTCAGGACTAAAGGTAGAAAAAGGTGTACATTTTACCATTTATAGTTAATCAAATGAAAATCACCTTTATACACAAGAATAATCATTCAGTGAAAATTATAAGAAATACAGTATATTTACTCTACAGTTGTGTATCCACATCAGATTCTACATTTCTTTGAGATTACAATAAAAATATTTTTTTACAGGGAGTAAAATACACAAGGACACGCACACATGCACACACAGATGTTTATTGCAGGAATGTGAAATTAATAATCTTCTCAGAAACTGCAGGTTTTGAAATCTGTGTACCTTAGATAAACCTATCTCTCCTAGCCTCCATTTCTGAGAGAGAGAAGGAAAAGTATTAGAAAGAGGAAAAGAAGAGGATAAAGGAATTGCTTCTTTTTCTTACGCATTTTTTTTAAATTTGAGGTTTTATTGTAAAATTTTTAAAATATATAAACAGTAGTACAATAAAACCCCTGTACCCATAACCTTTCTTAGGTAAATATCTACTCAAAACCATCTTGTTTCACCTATACTCCACTCCCTTTCACCCTTCCCCTAGATTATTTTGAAGAAAATCCCAGACATCATATCGTTTCAACCATAATACCTTGGCGGGTAGACCTGAAGATAAAGTTCTGTGGTGGAGCAAGATGATTGAGTAGAAACCTCTAATGGTCATTCACCCCGCAGAAACACCAAATTAAACAATTATCCACACAAAAAAGCACCTTCATAAGAACCAACAATCAGGTAAGCAATCACAGTAACTGTTTTTAACTTCATATCACTGAAAGAGGCACTGAAGAGGGAGGAAAAACGGTCTCGAATTGCTGACACCAACCCTTCCTCCAAGCCCTGGCAGTGGCTGCATGGTGAGGAGAGAGAATCTGTACACTTTGGGGAGGAAGAGCACAGTGACTGTGGCAGAGCTCAGGTGGCACCACAGAGGGAGCATTTACACCAGCCCTAGCCAGATGGGAATTGTCCATCCTGGCACTTGGATCCTGAGTTAAGGCAAGTCTTGCCACTATGGGCTAAAGGACTCTGGGATCCTAAATAAACTTGAAAGCCAGTCAAGACCACAAGGACTGCAATTCCTGGGCAAGTCCTGATCCTGTGCTGGGCTTAGAGCCAGTGGACATGGGGGGCATGCAGCCTAGTGAAACACCAACAGAGGTGGTCAAGAAAGTGCTCCTGCCACCCTGCCTCAACCCCAGGCAGCACAGCTGGAAGGTCTAAGAGAGACTCCTTAACCCTCTTGAGGAGAAGAGAGAGAAGAGGAAAGATAATTTTGTCTTGCAACTTGGATACCCTCACAGCCACAGTAGGATAGGTCACTGGGCAGAGTCCTGAGGCACCTATTCCAGGCCCTAGCTCCTGCATGACATTTCTAGGCACAGAAGGGAACCTACTGCTTTGAAGGGAAGGACCTAGACCTGACAGATTTTATTACCTGCTGACTACAGAGCACTTGGGCCCTGAATAATCAGCAGCAGTACACAGGCAGTACTTGCCTTGGAATTTGGAGGAGACTCAGAGACATGCTGGTTTCAGGTGTCCTCTAGCACATTCCCAGCTATGGTGGCTGAGAAGAGACTCCTTCTGCTTGAGAAAGGAGAGGAAAGAGTAAAGGGGACTTTGTCTTGCAGCATAGGCACCAGCTTGGCCACAATGAGCTACAGAACCAAGCAGGCCCTTGGGGGTCCCTGATTCCAGGCCTTGGCCCTTGGAAGGCAATTTTGGACCTGCCTTGGGCCAGAGGAGAGCCCACTGCCCAGAAGGGAGAGTCCCAGGCCTGGCGGCATTCATCACAGACTGACTGAGGAGCCCTTGGTCCTTGAATGAACAATAGCAGTAGACTGGCAGTATTTGCTGGGGGCCTGGGTGGTGATAGCCACAGGGAGAGACTCTTCTGCCTGTGGAAATGGGAAAAAAATAGCAAGGACTTTGTCTTGTGGCTTGGGTGGCAGCTCAGCCAGAGTAGAATAGAGTACTAGGTAGATGCCTAAGGTTTCCAATGTCAGGCCCTGGCTTCTGGATGGCATTTCTGGACATGCCAGTGACCAGAGGGAACTTGCCACCCTGAAGGGAAAGATACAAGTCTGGCTGGCTTTGACACCTGCTGGTTATAGAGCTCTAGGGCCTTGAGCAAACATAGTAAGTAACAAGGCAGTGCTTACAGTGAGCCTTGGGCAAGACTCAGTGTTTTGCTGGCTTTAGATCTGATCCCGTTCCCATGTATGTCCAATGGTGTTGGCTACAGGGAAGCTTGTGTCACCCATCCCCCAGATTCAGGCAGCTCAGAACAGAGAAAGAGACTCCATTTATTTAGGAGAAAGTAAGGGAAGAGAACAAGAGTCTCTGCCTGGTAATACATATAATTCTTCTGGATCTTATCCGAGACCACCAAAGCAGTACCTCTCTGAGTGTGCAAGATCCACGGTGTTACTTGGCTTGGAGTACCCACTAATGCAGACATGGATGCAGTGATCGAAAACTTAAATTATAGCACACAAGTCCCTTTGAATACTTGGAAACCTTCCCAAGACAAATGGGTGCAAACAAGCCCAGACTGCAGTCACTACAATAAATACCTAACTCTTCAATACCCAGACACCGAAGAGCACTCACAAACATCAACACCATCCAAGAAAACATGACCTCACCAAAAAAAAAAAAAAAAAAAAAAAACTAAATAGTACAGCAGGGACCAGTCTGGAAGAGACAGATATGTGACCTTTCAGACAAAAATAGCTGTTTTGAGGAAATTCAGTGAAATTCAAGATAACACACACAGAGAAAATCAGAATTCTATCAGATAAATTTAACAAAGGGATTGAAATAATTGAAAAGAATTAAGCGGCAATTCAGGAGTTAAAAAACTCAATTGACATACTGAAGAATATATCAGAGTCACTTAAGAGCAGAATCAACCAAGCAGAAGAAATAATTAGTGAGCTTAAAGACAGGCTATTTAAAAATACATGGTCAGAGGGGAGAAAAGAAAACAGAATTAAAAAGAATGACACACACCTATAAGATCTAGAAAATAACCACAAAAACAAAAATCTGAATTAGTGGCCTTAAAAAAGAGGTAGAAAGAGAGATAGGGGCAGAAAATGTGTTCAAAGGCACAATAACAGAGAACTTTCCAGGCCTAGAGAAAGACGTGAATATTCAAGTATCATATTCAAGTATGTTTATAGAAAGTTATTGAACACGAAGCAGATTTAACCCAGATAAGACTACCTCAAGACATTTAATAATCAAACTTCCAAAGGTCAAGGAGAAAAACTGTATCCTAAAAGCAGCAAGAAAAAAGAAACAAATAACATACAATGGAGCTCCAATACCTCTGGCCAGAGACTTCTCCATGGAAACCTTACAGGCCTGGAGAGAGTAGCATGACATATTTAAAGTGCTGAAAGAAAAAACCCTTTTATCCTGGAATAACATACCCAGCAAACATGAAGGAAAAATAAAGACTTTCCCAGACAAACAAAACCTGAAGGATTTCATCAACACCAGACCTGTCCTAGAAGAAATGCTAAAGGGAGTTCTTCAACCCAAATGAGAAGGATGTTAATGAGCAATAAACCATCATCCAAATGTACAAAACTCACTAGTAACAGTAAGTACACAGAAAAACCCAGAATATTATAACACTGCAACTGGGGTGTGTAAACTATTCATATCTTAAGTAGAAAGACTAAAAGATGAACCAATTAAAAATAATAACTTTTCAAGACATACTATAATAAGACATGAATAGAAATAACCATCCTAAGTTTTAAAGTGAGGAAGTAAACTTAAAGTATGAATTTTTTATTAGTTTTCTCTTTGCTTGTTTATTAGTATGTTTATACAAACAGCATTAGTGGTCATTGGTTTTTAAAAAATGGGTTATAAGATATTATTCACAAGCCTCATGGTAACCTCAATTCAAAACACATAGAAACAGATACACTAAAAATAAAAAGCAACAAATTAAAATATATCATCACAGAAAATCGCATTCACTAAAAGGAAGGAAAAAAGAGAAGACCACAAAACAACCAGAAAACAAATAACAAAATGAGAGGCAATATTTACTTATCAATAATAGTGTTGAATATAAATGAACTAAACTCTCCAACTAAAAGACATAGAGTGGCTAAACGGATTTAAAACAACAACAATGACCTCTTGCCTAGAAGAAATGCACTTCACCTATAAAGACAAACATAGACCTAAAATAAAAGTGTAGCAAAAGATATTTCATGCCAATGGAAACCAAAAAAAGAGCAGAAGTAGCTACACTTATATCTGGCAAAATAGATTTCAAGACAAAAACTATCAAAAGAGACAAACAAGGTCACTATATAATGATAAAGGGGTCAATTCAGCAAGAATACATAACACTTTTAAACATATATGTACCCAATGCTGAAACATCCAGATATATAAAGCAAATATTAGAGCTAAAGAGAGAGATAGATTCCAATACAGTAACAGCTGGAGACTTCAACACCCCACTGTCAGCATCGTACAGATCTCTGATGGAGAAAATCAGCCAATCTTAATCTGCACTGTAGACCAAATGGACCAAGTAGATACTTACAGAACATTTCATCCAATGGCTGTAGAATACACATTCTTCTCCTTAGCACTTGGATTATTCTCAAGGACATATGTTAGGCCACAAAAGAAGTCTTAAACATTTTCTTAATTAAAATCAAAGAATTATCTCTGACCATATGGGAATAAAACTAGAAGTCAAAAACTAGAGGAATATGAGAAACTATACAAACAAATGGAAATTAAACAATATGCTCCTCAAAGACCTGTGGGTCAATGAAGAAATTAAGAAAGAAATTGAAAAATTTCTTGAAAGAAGTGATAATGAAAACACAACATACCAAAACATGGGATACAGCAAAAGCAGTACTGAGAGCTATAAACACCTACAAGAAAAAAAAAACTAGAAAAACTTCAAATAAACAACCTAATAATGAATCTTAAGGAACTAGAAAAGCAAGAGCAAACCAAAACCAAAATTAGCAGAAGAAAATAATAAACACTGAGGCAGAAATAAATGAAACGGACATAAAGAAAACAATACAAAAGATAAATGAAATAAAATAGTATTTTGAAAAGATAAAAAAACCTTTAGCCATACTAAGAAAGAAAGAGAGAAGACCCAAATAAATAAGATCAGAGATGAAAAAGGTAACATTACAACTGATACTACAGTAATTCAAAGGACCATTAGAGGGTACTATGAGCAGCTGTATGTCAATAAATGGGGAACCTAGAAGAAATTGATAAATTGCTAGATACACACAACCTAACAAAGTTGTACCACAAAGAAACACAAGACATGAACAAACCAATAACAAGTAATGAAATTGAAGCCTTAATAAAAAATTATCCCAACAAAGAAAAGCCTAGGTTTCACTGCTGAATTTTACCAAATATTTAAAGAAGAACTAACAACAATTCTACTCAAACTATTTCAGAAAACAGAGGAGGGAATACTACTAAACTCATTCCACAAGACTAGTATGACTCCGATACTAAAATCAAAGACACATTAAAAAAGAGAAAACTACAGTCCAATATTCCTGATGAACATTGATGCAAAAGTCCTCAACAAAATACTGTCAAACCAAATTCAACAACACATTTAAAAAGGTAACTCATGATGAACAAGTGGAATTTATGCCAGGGATGCAAGGATGGTTCAACATATGCATGTCAACCAATGTAATGCATCATATAAACAGAATGAAGGACAAAAACCATATAGTCATTTCAATTGATGCTGAAAAAGCTTTTGATAAAATTCAACATACTTTCAAGATAAAATACCTCAAAAAACTGGGTATAGAAGAAACTTACCTCAACACAATAAAAGCCATATATGGTAGATCCATAGCTCCACAGCTAGTATCATACTGAATGGGAAAAAAATGAAAGTCTTTCCTCTAAGATCTGGAACATGAGAAGGATGCCCACTTTCACCACTGTTATTCAACATACTACTGGAAATTCTAGGTACAGCAATCAAATGAGAAAAAAATAAAGGACATTCAGATTGGAAACAAAGGAGTCCAATTATCCTTGTTTGCAGATGATATGATCTTATATTTGGAAAAACTCCACCAAAAAAGCTATTAGAACTGATACACAAATACACTAAAGTTGCAGGATACAAAGTCAACATACAAAAATCAGTAGCATTTCTATATGCCAACAGAAAATAGTCTGAAAAAGGAATCAAGAAAGCAATCTCATTAACAATAGCTACAAATAAAATCAAATACCTAGGAATTATCTTAATCAAAGAATTAAAAGATATCAATGACAAAAGCTGTAAAATATCGATGAATGAAATTGAAGAGGACACAAAAGAATGGAAAGATATTCCATGGTCATGTATTACAAGAATCAATATTGTGAAAACGCCCATGCTACTCTAAGCAATATATAGATTTAATGTAATCCCAATCAAAATATCAATGACATTCTTCACAGAAATAGAAAAGGCAACCCTAAAATTTATATGAAACCATAAAAGGCACAGAATAACAAAAGCTATCCTAAGCAAAAGAACAAAACTGGAGAAATCACATTACCTGACTTCAATTTATACTACCGAGCTATAGTAACCAAAACAGCATGGTACTGGCATAAAAACAGACACATAGACCAATGAAATAGCATAGAGAACCCAGAAACAAATCCAAACACCTGCAGTGAACTCATTTTTGATTAAGGTACCAAGAACATACATTGGGGAAAGAACGGTCTCTTCAATAAATGGTGCTGGGAAAACTGGATATACATATTTAAAAGAATGAAACTAGTTCCCTATCTTTCATTTATACAAAAATCAAATCAAAATGGATTAAAGACTTCAATCTAAGACTTCAAACTATGAAAGTACTACAAGAAAACATTGGGGAAAACTCTCCAAGACATTGGAGTGGGCAAAGATTTCTTGATTAATACCCCACAAGCACAGGCAACCAAAGCAAAAATGGACACATGGGATCACGATCAACTTAACAAGCTCTTCACAGCAAAGGGAACAATCAACAATGGGAAGAGACAGCCAACAGAGTAGGAGAAAATATTTGCTAACTACCCATCTGACAAGGGATTAATAACCAGAATATACAAGGAGCTCAAACAACTCTGAAGGAAAAAATCTAATAATCTAATTAAAAATGGGCAAAAGATCTGAATAGATATTTCTCAAAAGAAGACATATGAATGGAAAACAGATATATAAAAAGGTGTTCAACATCATTGGTCATCAGAGAAATGCAAATCAAGACTAAATGAGATATCATCTCACCCCAGATAAAATGGCTTTTATCCAAAAGACAGGCAATAAAGAATTATGACAAAGATGTGAAGAAAAAGAACCCTTGTACACTGTAGGTGGGTATGTAAATTAGTACAACCACTATGGAGAACAGTTTGGAGGTTGTTCAGAAAACTAAAAATAGAGCTATCATATGATCTAGAAATCTCATTTCTAGGTATATACAAAAAAGAAAGGACATTAGTATATCAAAAACATATTTGCACTCTCATATTTATTGCAGCACTATTCAAAATAGCCAAGATTTGGAAGCAACCTAAATGTCCATCAACAGATGAATAAATAAAAAAAAGTGGTACATTTACACAATGGAGTACTATTTAGCTGTAAAAAGGAATGAGATCCTCTCATTTGCAACATCACGGATGGAAGTGGAGGTAAATATGTTAGTGAAATAAGCTGGGCACAGAAAGACAAGCTTCACATGTTCTCCCTGATTTGTGGGAGCTAAAAATTAAAACAATTGAACTCATGGAGATAGTAGAAGGATAGTTACCAGAGGCTGGAAAGGGTAGTGAGGGGGGAAGTGAGGATGGTTAATGGGCACAAAAATATAGTTAGATAGAATGAATAAGTTCTGTTATTTGATAGCACGACAGGGTGACTAGTCACTTTTGTGATTCTAGTGGCCATGAATATTCATTGCCTAGACTCATAAGAGATTTATAAGTTTTTTTAGGCTGTTTGGGCTGCTATAACAAAATACTTTGGACTAAGTAATTTATAAACAATAGAAATTTATAGCTCACAATTCTGGAGCCTGGGAAGTCCAGTGTGAGGGTGGGAGCAAATTTAGTTTCTGGTGAGGGCCCACTCCTCATAAATGGCACCTTCTATATGTCCTCACATGGCAGATGGTCAAGACAACCCTCTCAGTCTCTTTTATAAAGACACTAATCCCATTCTTGGGGGCAGAGCCCTCATAACTTAGTCACCTCCCAAAGGTCTCATTTTTTTATATCAACACATTGGGGATTAAATTTCAATATATGAATTTGGGAGTTGCAGGGGGTGGTACAGGGGGACAAACATTCAGAACTCAACAACAGTTTTGAAAAGATTTAAGCTGTTATGTCATGGAATTTGCTCTTACAAGTTGGCAGGCTTGGTACTAGTGTCTACATTGTACTGAGAGAATAATTATAACTCATTTATGGGAATAGTAGAGTCATAATGAACCCAAACAATTCATCCAGCTCAAGAAGACAGCAAAAATGTGGCTATGCCACCCCACTCTACTCCCTCCATACAAACATTTTTTTCTTTTTTTTTCAGGAAAAAAAATTGTTTGCATTCATTTAGGTATGGAATTTTATGCCTCATTTCCAAACTAATTTCCTGATGGGGATGGTATAGGCAGTGGGGACAGGATATAGGTAAAAATAGATGCACAGGCAATTTCTATTGTACATATACATGCGTTTGTTCTTATATCCCATTATGCCATACTTATCAGTCACAACAATAGCAAGCATAAGGGATAGCCCTACAGCTGTGTCTATTTCAACCTGGTTTCAATGTAGGACAGAGCAAAGCTATACAACTGCTGAAAAGCAATTGCAAATATTTGGAGCATATTGGAAAAAATTGTATTTTTTCCATTCAAACCGTGTTAGAATTAACACATAGAAAGGGGACTTAACTAAGATCTACCACTGTTCAGAACAGAGTGATAAGCATAATTACCCACTTTGCAACATGATTTAAATTTTCATTTACTTATTCTGTGTCTAAGAAATATTTATTGAGTGTCACTATATAGTGGACATTTTACAGGAAATTTAGTTATATAGTAAGCAAAAGTAACTGCCTAGAAAGTGAGACAATTAAACAACAACACAAGTAAATATAAAATTACAAGAAGGAGAGGTACTTGATGTGTTAAGTGAATATAATAGGAGGACTAAACCTAGACTAGAAGATCAGAAGCTGTTATCCTGGAGGAGGGAGAAGCTAAATTGGCATGGATTGCGGAATGAGTAGAAATTGTGAAATTGTGGCTGGAATGCTTTTAAATGATGGGAATGGAATGTGAGATGAGACGGGAGAGTTAGAGAGTAACAGGATCAATAGGATATTATGTTGTCTGGCCACATGTTCCAGCTTTCCCAGGGTAGTCCAGGTTTATGTCAGTTGTCCTAACACATCCATTAATAGTTCCCCTTTATACTTACTAAAGTGTCCCATTCTGAGCTACAAGTTATATAGTCACCCTATCTACAGGCCATTTTATAAAAAATTATCCCAAGGTGAACTCACTGAAATTTTAACCAAAGAAGTCATAATTAGACTTGATTGTAAAAAATAAAAATCACTCTGGTTGCATCAATGTATTGTAGGGGGTGGAAGGTTGTAGGGACTGGTTAGAGGATCTTGAAGTTCAGGACAAAAGTGATGTCTAACACATAGCAAGAATGGATCCATTGGAGAGCTTAAGAGAACTTGATGATATTTTGGAAAGGGTATCAAAGATAAGGGAGAAGGGAAAGAGGTATTAGGAATGATACCCAGGTTTGTCTGTGAGTGTGTGTTGAAAAATGGCACAAAGCTGTGTTGCAGAAATAGAATAAGCAGATCATGGAGGCATCTAGATTTGCATTTTTTTCCAAATCGGTAAAATGAATAATCTGAAGAACAAGGATATTAGGGATGTTAGCATGAGTGTTATTTATTTACTTTTTTAAATTTATTTATTTTATCTTATTTTGAGACCGAGTCTGGCTCTGTCGCCCAGGCTGGAGTGCAGTGGCGCGATCTTGGCTCACTGCAAGCTCCGCCTCCCGGATTCACGCCATTCTCCTGCCTCAGCCTCCGGAGTAGCTGCGACTACAGGCGCCCACCACCACGCCCGGCTAATTTTTTGTATTTTTAGTAGAGACGGGGTTTCACCGTGTTAGCCAGGATGGTCTCGATCTCCTGACCTCGTGATCCACCCACCTCGGCCTCCTAAAGTGCTGGGATTACAGGTGTGAGCCACCGCGCCCAGCCTGAAGTAATCTTTTTAAAGTGCAGGTCATCTGATACCGGCTCCAGTTCAGAACTCTTCAATGGCGTTTTAGAATTAAATTCAAAATTTATTTTACATATGAGGCCATATGTACTTGGCTTCTAGCCACTTCTCCAGGTTCATTTTCCTCTTGTCCAGGCAGTGAGCTTCTTGCTCTAACTTAACAAACGAACTCTAACTTGGGGAGAATATTCTTGCTGTTCCATCAGTTCTGTCCCAAGATGTTGCATAGATCATCTTTAGGTCAGTACAATCTTTGCTTAAACATCACTCTTCAGAATCCTTTCCTGACTGCTCTAAAATAGCATTATTTCAGACAATGTTTTATTTAATTTTGCATTGTTTAATTTCATGGCACTTAATTACCTGACATTGTATTACACAGTTATTTATTATTTTCCAAGTGTTTTCCAGTGGAATGTAAGACCCTTGCAGCTAGAAAAAAATTATTTTGATTTTCTGCAATAGGTAATGACTAGGAGATTAACCATTTTGGTTTACTGCATAAGCAATGACTAGGAGTTTGATAAATATTTATTTTATATAATTGTTAGTAGGAGAGCAGGAGATCAAGAAACTGAAATGATTGACCACATGAATGCTGAGGTGCCCTAGGCTGGACAAAAGTTGCTTTTTTAAAAAAAAATTATTTATGTATTTATTTTTACAGAGATAAGGTGTCAGTGTTGCCCAGGCTGGTTGAGAACTCCTGAGCTCAAGTGATACTCCTGCTTTGGCCTTCCAAAATGCTAGGATTACAGGCATGAGACACCACACCCTGCCTGGACAAAAGTTGGCAGTTATGTGGTAGTGATAGGGACATAGATAAAAGACAGCAATTAGGAAGGAAAGATTTTTATATCCACATTTGTTATTGATTCAGTAATTCGGTAGTCAAGCAAAATCTTATCAACTCTCATATACTTGTATTTTCCTCCTACAAATGATTCAGACTTTTGTTCAAAATTAAGCATAAATACATATTTATTTTGACTATCATTTTTTACACATCACTTCTTCCAATGGAATTCTTTAAATATTAAGGAAATTTGCATACACAAGGAAGTGTCTCTCCAAAGGATTGCCTAACTCAAAACAAAAGCTATAGGTATTTTATGAATAGAGCTTAAAAATCTTAAAAAATACTGACACTGAAGTTTTCTTGTATTACATTTATATTTTGTGCATTCTATTAATATACAAAGTTTGTCCTCTTCCTTTCTAAAATATATACTCATGTACAGTAGTTTACCCCTTATCCCCAGTGGATGCCAGAAACCATATATAGAACCAAATTCTGTGTATGTGTTTTTCCTATACATCAAACTTATGATAAAGTTTAATTTATAAATTAGGCATAGTATGAGATTTATAATTGCTAATAAAACAGAACAATTATAACCATATACTGTAATAAAACTTATGTGAATGTTGTCTCCCTCTCTCTCAATATCTAATTGTAATGTACTCTTTTTCAGACCACTGAAATTATTTTCAGACAGTTTCAGACTGTTGACCAGAACTGTGGAAAGTAAAACCAGGGATAAAGGAGGACTACTATATTCACTTTTAAATAGTTGGATGAATAGGTTAGAACTGTTTTTTACTGTAACAGAATATCCAATCAATTGATTTAAAAACATTATTGAATAAAAAATATAAAAACTCCCAGGAATAATATTTGATTTTTTAAAGCAGAGCTTGGCCCAGGAGGTCAAATGATTATCTTCTTTCCCTCTGTTGGTTTCATTATACTCCAGTCAGCTCTAGTCTCACATCATTATGAATACCAGCAGCTACGCTGGAGGACAAAACTTGCCTGTCTCTGGGTGACCCTGGTAAAAAGTTATCTCATTACATTTCATTAGGTCTGAGTGAGGCCCATGCAGAACCTTGATTTAATCACAGTGGCCAGGGAGATGTGAAACTATCCCTCCACTCCAACTCTTTCCTCTTTCAAGCAAACTCCTGAAGCTGAGAAGAATGGGTGCATCAAGACACATGGAATGAGAATGGTGTTGAGGCATTTCCCTAAAGAATAACAGTACTATTACCAAAAAGGTGGAGGGGAGGTGATGAATAACAAAAATCACAGCTCATTAGAAAGTCTTCCAAACATGACTGTAGTCTTTGGTGATAGATTCATATATAAGACAAACATTTAATATTCTGTCTGAGAGTTCCTTACATTTAAAATATTTGGATTAAATTGAAGATATTCTGTTGGGCAGCAATAAAACTATTCACTAATCTACTACGTGATAGAAATGCACACAAAATTTAAACTTATGGTAGAATATATGAGAATATATGGACTTTGAATGAAAGAACTGTGGACTTTGAATCAGGAGATCTTGATTTATTTTCTCTGTTCTAATGCCTGTTTAACTCATCTAGACCTGAATTTCTTTTCTTCCTAGATATCTGATGATTTATTCCTTACCCACAGTTATTAGTCAGGGTTCTTTAAAGGGACAGAGCCAATAGGATAGATGTATATGTAAAGGGGAGTTTGTTAAGGAGTATTTACTCACACAATCACATGGTGAGATCCCACAATAGGCTCTCTGCAAGCTGAGGAGCAAGGAAGCCAGTCCGAGTCCCAAAACCTCAAAAGCAGGGAAGCCGACAGTGCAGCCTTCAGTCTGTGGTCGAAGGTCCAAGAGTCCCAAAGCTGAAAAACTTGGAGTCTGATGTTCAAGGGCAGGAAGCATTAAGCACAGTAGAAAGATGTAGGCCCAGAGACTAAGCCAGTCTAGTCTTCTCACATTCTTCTGCCTGCTTTTATTATGGCCACACGGGCAGCTGATTAGATTGTACCCACTCAGCTTGAGGGTGGGTTTGCCTCTCCCAGTCCAATGACTCAAATGTTACTCTTCTTTGGCAACACCTTCACAGACATACCCAGGAACAATACTTTGCATCCTTCAATCCAATCAAGTTGCCACTCAATATTAACCATCATACATAGTTTCACTTTTCACTGCTTTGACCCTTTGTTTATGCTGTTAGAATTCTGATAAACATTACATTATAGCTTCAATTCAGAAAGAATGTAAATATATCATTAGGTTATATGACCCAAGAGCTCTATATTTCTCTTCACTTGTTCCAATCCCTCTTCCACATCTAGTAATAAGAATGTTTAGTTTTCTTCATGCAATTCTTTTTACTAATTTAAATTAATTCCTGGATGCTGTGCAGTTAATTTGCCGTTGGTTATAAGTTTGGGTTTTTTGACATAGATGTTTTCACAGGCTATTACTGATACATAGGAGAGTTAGTAATTTTTGTATTTTTATATACAATATACTTTTCTAGTCACTTTAATGGACTTCTAGCAATTGTAATATTTTTATGGGATTCTGTAATGTATTCCTGGAATAGAATTATGTGATATGTAAATAGTAATTTTATCCCCATTTTGTTTTATCTGTTTTGTATTTTATTTTCTTGGCTGGAGTTTCCAAAAACAACAGGGTGTTTGTCAGTTATTGGTTAGAAAAACAAGTAATTGAGTTTCTTGTTTGGATTTCATGCAACCACATAAGCTTATTAAAAGACAATTCACCATGGCATTTCCATATATCTTGTATTAGTTCTTGTTCTGGACTATCGTCCCAAGGTTGTTTAATAGCAGATAGCCTTGAAATATAGCAATAGTGTTTCCTTCTGGGGCAGAGAATAGATTTATTTGATCAGGATAATAAAGATAAGGTCCTTCTCCCTGTACAAAGTTTGCTCGAGTTTTCTGGCAGCTGCCTTATAAGATTGAGGTGTCATAAATTCAGGATTTCTCAGCTGTGACATAAAGCCACTATGCGTGAAGCATCTACCCATATGGCTTCACATCACTCCTATGGGACTTGGGCAAAGGGACCTGATGTGAACATGAAGCTCATGCTGCCTGATACGCCATGAATAATAAAGTTCTTTGTCTCTGACCCAGCAGGCTCATGTCTTCTGCCAGCATTTATGAACCTGTCACAGGCTAACTTGATGCAAGCAGAGTAAGATCTCCAACTCTTCACTGCTCTTGACATTGCTGTCTGTTGATGCTCATGAATATTCTTGCAGCTGCTACTAGAGAATGATGGTTTTTCATTCTCTCCTTATGAATTTTTCATGATTGCCTCACATTGTGTAATCTAACCAGAGCCCTACAGGCAAAAGTAACACAAATTCCCATAAAATACCATGTCCATTTGTGGATAACAGTTATTCTCTTTTTAGCAGTCATGATCTCTTTTTGGTACTCTGTAAATCAACTACAGAATTAGAGTTGCTTAAAAAAAATGGCCAGGCTGGGCGCGGTGTCTCACACCTGTAATCCCAGCACTTTGCGGGGCCGAGGCAGGCGGATCACAAGGCCAGGAGTTCGAGACCAACCTGGCCAACGTGGTGAAACCCTGTCTCTACTAAAAATACAAAAAATTAGCCGGGAGTGGTGGCACACGCCTGTAGTCCCAGCTACTCAGGAGGCTGAGGCAGAAGAATTGCTTGAACCCGGGAGGCGGAGGTTGCAGTGAGCTGAGATGGTGCCACTGCACTCCAACATGGCTTACAGAGTGAGACTCCATCTCAAAAAAAAAAAAAAAAAAAAATGGCCAGACGCAGTGGCTCACACCTGTAATCCCAGCACTTTAGGAGGCTGAGGCGGGTGGATCACTTGAGGTGAGGAGTTCAGAGACCAGCCTGGCCAACATGGTGAAACTCCATCTCTACTAAAAATACAAAAATTAGCCAGGCATGGTGGTGTGTGCCTGTAATCCCAGCTACTCAGGAGGCTGAGGCAGGAATATCATTTGAACTCGGGTGACGGAGGTTACTCTGAGCCGAGATGGCGCTACTGCACTCCAGCCTGAGTGACAGAGTGAGACTCCGTCTCAAAAACAAACAAAATCACCAACACATCCTATATAAAGGTAGGAGAGTGAAGAGGAAAATAATAACATATACAAACATATAACAAACCAAGGGAGAAAATATCCATAGTTTATACAGTCCTAATTCTATAACTGGTTGTGAAGCCATTTTGATATTCGTTGTTCCCTTATTCTAATACCTGTTACCAAGTCCTTCAATTGATCATAAGTTAGTTTAGTTTTGTTTGTTTATTTGTTTCACCAAGTTTCATGACCCAAACCTTTATTCCAAATGGATCTGTTATTAATGCTTCTAACTGCATTAGATTGATGTTGTGTTCTGTTCTACCAGTGTATGGAAATTATAAGAAGTGCCCCAGGGTATAGAATCCTCTCAATTCCATACTTTCTAATCCCCACTGTGTAGCGTCAGCCTTCTTTTTCAGTGACAATTGGAACCAGTCACTTTATGCAGTACAATTCTCATTTCCCTTCCCTGCCTCCCTCAAAAACAACCCTTCTAAACAAACAGAGCACAGATTTGAGGGCATTAAAGCACAAAAAATTCTTGATCTCTTTTCCACCCTCAGTTCCCAGACCCATATATTCTGAATATGGGAGATAAGACACCATAAACTGGATACTGTTTTAGAGTACCTAGTGAATCTTTGGGACAGCATATCAACCCCTCATGGTCCATTACTAAATCTGCAACCTAGGTCAGTTTTTAATATATTATGCACAGTTCTCTCATGTTAGCAGCTTCTGTTGACAGTGTATGTGGTAATACTTTTGATTATCATGAATACGAGATTAAGAGAAGAGCTTTAGCTATTTTGCTATAAAACTAGTTCCTTGATCGGAAGTAATATTGTCGTTGGATACCAGGATGTTGAATAAAGCATCCAGTGAAAGTCAAATTTCTGCCATTTCCATAATGAAAGGAGAAAGGGTTAGATGGTTCTGTAAGAAATGGTACTGCATCAGATACTTTGTGTAGGTCTTTGCTGCTGGCAAGAATGTTATTTAGCAACTGCTGAATCATCTACCCCAACAATGAATTCAGGAACCTGGGAAATAACTCTAGAGTGAACTCATGGACCTAGGGACCTATTTTGAAAGAAATTTGAGCCAAAACCTCACTTATTTTCTGGCCTCCATAAATCCCCACTCTAATGAAGCATGAAGGCATTTTAGGACTTCTGGAATTTATGTCAGTTCAGAGCCAGTGCTCAGTTATCCCTGAAATTCCTACACATTTCCCCTTCTGTATTACATAGTCACCTGGCTAAATGGCTAAAGTTATTTTGATGAAGGCCAGGAAGAAGATTTTACTTGTGTCACTGTTGAAAGGTGTTTCCTCAAGTGGACCTCAAATGGACCTCAAATGGTTACTCAAGATGTAGTCATATGACCTAGATTTTGCCAATGATACATGTATACATGTGTCTTGGGTGTGGAAATGTGTATTATGTGGGCAAAGTTGTGTTGAGGAAGGTTGATTTTCTGGCTAGTATGATATAGGCACTGGTTTGTTGAAAAAACACTACCAGAGGTTCTGATGTTCAGTTCTGAGTGTCACAGAAACCATACAGTAGTAGGAGATGACATTTTAGCTACCTATGTCTACAATATGGTTGGACATTTTGTCTGGCTGTTTAGCTTCTCTGTCTCATGAGAAGATTCTGTGATCTATCTAATATTTTTTTTTTTGAGTTGGAGTCTTGCTCTGTTGCCCAGGCTTGAGTGCTGTGGCATGATCTTGGCTCACTGCAACCTCAGCCTCCCGGGTTCAAGCAATCCTCCCACCTCAGCCTTCCAAGAAGCTGGGATTACAAGCATGTGCCACCATGCCTGGCTAATTTTTGTACTTTCAGTGGAGATGAGGTTTCACCATGTTGGTCAGGCTGGTCTCAAACTCTTGACCTCAAGTGATCCGCCCACCTCAGCCTCCCAAAGTGCTGGGATTACAGGCATGAGCCACGGCGCCTGGCCTACCTAATACCATTTAAATAAATTCTTTCTTTGTGGAGGTGATAGGAGTAGATTCTGTTGTTGGAGTAAAAATAACTTACTGAATCTTTTATATGGAACACTATAGGAAATTAGAAGTGCTCAGGAATAGAGTTTAGCCCACATTTGAACAAGTATTCTCCATAAGTACGGGAAGATTAGGAGGACATAATGATCAATACAGAATACCATGCTAAGGAGAGATCAGTCAAAGATTTATTATCTCTATAGACAAGTGCAATTACTGAGCTAGTAGCAAATCAGTATCATCATGCCCTCTCAGTGGAGGAGAGTGAGGGCTGAATGAGAGCTGCAGATCTGAGGCTAAATCATGGCCCCACATACTAGCTGTGAAACCTTTGAAAAACTGCTTAATCTCTTGTAGTCAACTTTCATATCTTTCAAGTGGGAATGGTAACACTTGACTTTCAGAGTCAGAGTCATTAGGATTTAATGAGAAAATGAAAGTGCCTACCGTAGAGGTTGATACACAATAGATGCTATGTAACTATGAATTTCTTTACTCCATTCTCCTTTGCTCACTCAAAAGCCACAGTCTTAAAATTTGGCATATAGTTAGTGATGGTAAGGCTGTTATAAAATATGGAAACACAAATCTGATTAATTTCTGTATGAGTTATTACTTTTGACTTTAAAAACCTAGAATAAATTCATCACATTTTATAGAACAGAAATACCTCCAGCTGGAAGCTATTAATTCATTCACTGTTTTGACTCTAATTTACCAACAAGTTATATAAATGCAATCAAAGTTCTTTTTTACCTCAAGTGGTTTAGTACCTACTTAGAGTAATGTGATCAAATCATAATAATATATTCTAACTATCTCTAAAGTGAAATATCAACAGTATATGCTAAAAGAATCATTCTTTTCTTTCTTCTTCTTTTTTAGTAAAGATGAGGTTTCCTTATGATGCCCAGGCTAGTTTCGAACGCCTGGCCCCAAGTGATCCTTCTACCTCAGCCTCCCAAAGTGCTAGGAGGTGTAAGCCACTGTACCCAGCCTAAGCCTAAAAGAATAGCTTTAACTAATTCTCTGAACCTAGCATAAACTGATAGAATAAATCAACAACAATAACAAAGTACGGGCATCTTCCACCTAATATTCTCAATTAATACTTTTTTAAAAATACGTTTTATTTTGGAATAGTTTTGGATTCACAAGAAGTTGCCAAAAAATAGTACAGAATCCCCATGTACTCTTTACTCTGCTTCCCCCACGGAAATCATCTTATAATACATTGTCAAAACCAGGAAATCAATACTGGTACAACAATACTGGTATTGTACTTTGGTACAATACCATTGAATCAAATATAAATCCTTACTCACATTTCACCTGCTTTTCATGCTCCTTAGTTTTTAGTATCCAAATGTATAGAATGCAAGTATCTATCAATCCATGTTTTATCAGACAATATTTATTTAGAAAAAGTACAGTAATTTCTTCCAAATTCAGTACAAAATTAAAGGATGTGCAAAAACCTGTTCAAGTTACATTCTGTATACAATTGGGTACATTGTTAGAATCATATGCTAGACATTTTGAAAAGGATACTGAGGGAATATGCATTTAAACTCCCCTCCATCTACAAGTTTTAAGTCTCTGTCTTACTTGTTAAGTAAAGTTCATCACAGAAAATTTTCCTGTTTTTGGTTGTTACTTTTTGTGCACATTATATCTAATAAATTTATTTTTTTCTGCCTATTTACCATAGTACAGCATGCAAAATCTACGTTACCATATAAAAAGCAACAGTTGTGTTTTTTAAACACAATGACTGATGATCTGTAGAAGCTATGTTTAAAGCACTATAGATCTTAACACCACAGTATCCTATTATATTTGTATTTACTAGGTTTTAGTTGAATTTCAGAAAATTTGCTGGTGAATTTGGGATGAACTATAATGCATTATAGTTTTTTCTTTAAAATAATAATAGGCTCTTGGTTAGTTGTTTTTGTTTTTTTGTTTTTTGAGACGGAGTTTCACTCTTGTTGCCCAGGCTGGAATGTAATGAGGTGATCTCAGTTCACTGCAACCTTTGCCTCCCAGGTTCAAGCTATTCTCCTGCGTCAGCCTCCTGAGTAGCTGGGATTACAGGTGTGTGCCACCATGCCCGGCTAATTTTTGTATTTTTAGTGGAGATGGGGTTTCACCATGTTGGCCAAGCTGGTCTCGAACTCCTGACCTCTGGTGATCCTCCCACCTCGATCTCCCAAAGTGCTGGGATTACAGGTGTGAGTCACCACACCCAGCCTAGGCTATTGGTTAGTTTTCTCAGACAAAACTTTTGAGTTCCAAAAACAGATTACTAACATGTGGGAGATGCTATTAATAGCATATGGATTTAGTAATGTAGAGGTTCTCTAAGGCAAATAAATATTTGGAATGGGATAATTTAGATATTACATTGGATAAACTGGTCCATCTAAGAAGTTAAAATATGACTAAAATAATACTAAAAATCAGTGAGAAAGGAAGATTTTATTCAATAATATGATGCTGAGGAAAAACTTTCTGAAAACCAAGAACTTTAAACATCTTAGCCTATAATCTTTGTTTCTACTCATTCTCTTCCCTTTCCTGGAAATTTTATTTTTCCTATTTTCTAACTTGTAATAGTCTACTCTTCTCTCAAATGATAATTCCACTGCCCCCTCCACAGCTCTTTCTTTTCCTCACTATCGCTAATCCCACTCCCATTCCCCCAAGACTTCCCTGGATGTTTCCATTGGAATGAGTTGGTCTCTCACTGGTTCCCCTAAAGCACATGGTCTCTGCTTGTCTTATAGCACACATTTAATAATGCTTTGCATTGTAAATGGTATTAGTGTTGGTCCCTCTAGTTCTAAGACTGAGTGTTGAGGGGAATTTGATTCAAGGCATATCAAGCAATTCTTTCTGATTTGCCACTGGGGGGAAATTTACAGTGCCAGAAAAACAAGATTAGGTCTGTTGAAGAGGGGTTAAGAAATGTGGCCAAACTTGCTTTTCTTTCTTTTTGGATTTGAGAATACTATCCATGGATGTTGATAGATGGTTTCCACCTGGTGAATCCTGGCGCTCTACTCAACCCTCTTCTCCTGTCTCCATTGAGTTCCAATAGTGCCATTACTTATCTCCTATTCAGGTTTTCCTCATTGCAAAGATCCCATGACTTCTCTCAGTATAGATTTGTACTTTTATACAAAGCCTTAGACATAAATTTCTTATTACTATAAGTAAATAGATTGCCTCAAATTAAGGGCATCTTTGTATCCTCCACTTGAGAGGTCCTATTTCTCCCCTACTTTTAATTATGCCTAAGAAGATGCAGATAAATTATCTTTATTTCTACAAGATATTGGTTATGTGATTCATTCAAGCTTGTAGATGAGAGCAAAAGTTATATTTGAGTTTGGTGTTGAAATAAAAATCAAGGCTCTGAGGAGAAAAGGATTTTATTTGTAGGTTATTTTTATCCTATGAGCATCTTTGCCTGGTAGCATTTAAATCAAAGAATTTAAATGTTAATGCAGTTTCGTATTTATCTTTCAATAATATTTTCTCTTTGGAAAATTCTGATTATGTTATTTGCAGTTATAACACTCAGCTTAAAATTCATGCTTCAAAATTTGCAATCAAGGAATTTTACTCAGAACTTGGCAGTTAGAGTACATGAATGTGCAATAATCTCATTTGATTATCTTTCTTTTCAAGAGATTAACACATTTCATGAGTTATTAGCATTACTTTAATAAGCCCATCTGCTCAGTATCACCTTTGTATGTTTTATTTAGCATTGATTGTGAGAGCTAACTGAATGCTCCGTATATACTGATAAAAATCTATGTGGAAGGGATCTGGCATCTCTCTGTTTTGTGTGTTAGATTCTGATTAAAATAGATGACTTGTTATTTGAAAAACAATAGAGGCTTCAAATATTGTTCTTGGCTTCTAAATTAGTTTGTTTCCTTCAAATAAATTCAATATTTTTAGGTTTTGCCAGAAAATTGTCAAAAAAAAAAAACCTTTCTAGCAGTTTGTTTTTTTCCCAAATGAAGAATGTGGAGATACTTGGAGTTGAAATAATTACTAGTTTTGTCACAGTGGGTTCCTATTAAATATTACAAACTGCAAATTCAGCATTGCCTGTTCTGATGAATGCCCAGTATGCAGTTATTTTGCTCTTAGGGTAGACCATGTTGAGATTATTTAACTCTTTGCAAAAGGAGAATGCAAAATATCTATGAGCTTTTATCTGTCTATAAAAAGAGCAAGTTTACGCACATGTAGATGTCTCGTCTTCCCGCTTTCCTCTTCCACCAACACTGCTTAGAAGAATCTTTCTCAGCCCACTCAGCTTCCTCTTCCTTAAGGAGAGTTTTAGGTATTAGTCCTTGGGCTTTTGTGATGGAAATATGGAGAACTGGTAGGGAAAGTCTAGAGATGTGAGCAGTGGGGGAGGCAACAGAGCAAAGACCGGGGCCGCTCTAGTTTCTTCATGGGGTTTGGGAAGTTGGAGGAGAATTGAAGGTACCTTACAAGTTCAGCTGCAGAGGGTGACAGAATTAGATTTTAGAAAGAGCTATTGTGGATTAGAAATTGTACCTTTCAATGGTAATTGAAAATTGAAAGCATTTTATAATTAGATTAGAATTGATCAGTGGATTAGATTAGTAGATTAGTAAGAACTCAATTTCTATAGTATTTGATTTCTTTCACTCTAGCAATTTGGGGCTGCTTTAACAGAAATGTAGGGCAGCTCTCTCTCCTCTGGTCCCCTGCCCTGGAAATTTTAGCTGCCTTGGCCTCCTCAGACTCCAAACTCTGTCTCTTAACCTGCGGAGTCAGCTGGGCTATTCCTGGGTTCCCTCTCTGCACAACGGCCTGGGAGCTCTTTCCAGACAGGAAACTGGGACACGCTCTTACCTCATTTGTTTCAGCCTCTCATTGTCCTGTACTCTTTACTACCTGTTATGCACTGCCAGAAAACTCTTGGTTCTTACGTTCTTTTTCTGTTTTTGTTGTTGCTGCTGTTGTTCTTGTTGTTTGGTTTTGTTTTAGTTGTTTAAGGTGGGAGGGTAAATGCAATCCTGGTGATCCCATTCTATCCAGAAACAATCTTATTTTTTTATTCACCTTCAGCAGAAGAGGAATGCCTTCATCGTACTTTTAATCTGATCTGAAACCATGATCAAGTGACAGACTCACTCTTGACCTTACTCCCAGGCTTATTCCATGCTGTGGTACTTCTTCACCAGGATGCTGCTTCGAGCATAGTGAGAAGACACCTTTGGTTATTTCCCTACATTCTGTTTTACATTACTTTCCATTTTACTTTACGTTCACACCTACATTATCTTTTTTAGAGATTCCACAAGTTAAAAGTACATTATACTTATTTAGTCCACCAGATTTATCACTGAATGTCTCCATTTGTGTGTGTGTTGTATGGGAAGGGGAGTGAATTGTGTATATAGCTCTACACTCCCACATACCCGCAAAGACACGCATACTTACACATACCTCCAACATAAACAATGACATACAACATATTGTGATGTTTATCCAGCTATAATAATTTGTCTGCAGTTTAACTTTGTCCATTTCTGGGTTTGGGTGTGGTCTACATTCAGTTCACTGTGATCCTTCACACTCAGCATCATAGTAAGGTTTGTAACTAGGAAATTTAACTCATCTGCTGTTAAATCAATTATAGTGTTTTTCCTGTTTTATTATAAATACTATCTAATTTTCCAATTCATCCTGGACTCCCTTGTTTCCTTTTCTTTGCTATAGTCAGCCAATTTCCCTCCTTTTGAAAAGCTTTTTAATGCTTTCCACTTTGAATCTGTCAAAGGCATCTTTGAATCTAAGAAAGGCATTTTGAAGAGACACACAAGGACACTCACTTTGTGTATCCCCTCAAAATATCTTTCTTAGATTTAACAAGATTGCTTTCTTTAATCATTTGGAAACTTCTGAAATCTTTGTTATGAACAAAATCTTCTTTTTTATTTTATTATTATTATACTTTAAGTTTTAGGGTACATGTGCACAATGTGCAGGTTAGTAACATATGTATACATGTGCCATGCTGGTGTGCTGCACCCATTAACTTGTCATTTACATTAGGTATATCTCCTAAAGCTATCCCTCCCCCCTCCCCCCACCCCACAACAGGCCTCGGTGTATGATGTTCCCCTTCCTGTGTCCATGTGTTCTCATTGTTCAATTCCCACCTATTAGTGAGAATATGCGGTGTTTGGATTTTTGTTCTTGCGATAGTTTACTGAGAATGATGATTACCAATTTCATTCATGTCCCTACAAAGGACATGAACTCATCATTTTTTATGGCTGCATAGTATTCCATGGTGTATATGTGCCACATTTTCTTAATCCAGTCTATCATTGTTGGACATTTGGGTTGGTTCCAAGTCTTTGCTATTGTGAATAGTGCTGCAATAAACATACGTGTGCATGTGTCTTTATAGCAGCATGATTTATAGTCCTTTGGGTATATACCCAGTAATGGGATGGCTGGGTCAAATGGTATTTCTAGTTCTAGATCCCTGAGGAATCGCCACACTGACTTCCACAAGGGTTGAACTAGTTTACAGTCCCACCAACAGTGTAAAAGTGTTCCTATTTCTCCACAACCTCTCCAGCACCTGTTGTTTTCCTGATTTTTTAATGATTGCCATTCTAACTGGTGTGAGATGGTATCTCATTGTGGTTTTGATTTGCATTTCTCTGATGGCCAGTGATGGTGAGCATTTTTTCATGTGTTTTTTGGCTGCCTAGATGTCTTCTTTTGAGAAGTGTCTGCTCATGTCCTTTGCCCACTTTTTGATGGGGTTGTTTTTTTTTTACTTGCAAATTTGTTGGAGTTCATTGTAGATTCTGGATATTAGCCCTTTGTCAGATGAGTATGTGGCAAAAATTTTCTCCCATTTTGTAGGTTGCCTGTTCACTCTGATGGTAGTTTCTTTTGCTGTGCAGAAGCTCTTCAGTTTAATTAGATCTCATTTGTCAATTTCAGCTTTGTTGCCATTGCTTTTGATGTTTTAGACATGAAATCCTTGCCCATGCCTATGTCCTGAATGATAATGCCTAGGTTTTCTTCTAGGCTTTTTATGGTTTTAGGTCTAACGTTTAAGTCTTTAATCCATCTTGAATTAATTTTTGTATAAGGTGTAAGGAAGGGATCCAGTTTCAGCTTTCTACATATGGCTAGCCAGTTTTCCCAGCACCATTTATTGAATAGGGAATCTTTCCCCATTTCTTGTTTTTGTCAGGTTTGTCAAAGATCAGATAGTTGTAGATACGCAGCGTTATTTGTGAGGGCTCTGTTCTGTTCCATTGATCTATATCTCTGTTTTGGTACCAGTACCATGCTGTTTTGGATACTGTAGACTTGTAGTATAGTTTGAAGTCAGGTAGCATGATGCCTCAAGTTTGTTCTTTTGGCTTAGGATTGACTTGGTGATGCAGGCTCTTCTTTGGTTCCATATGAAATTTAAAGTAGTTTTTTCCAATTCTGTGAAGAAAGGCATTGGTAGCTTGATGGGGATGGCATTGAATCTATAAATTACCTTGGGCAGTGTAGCCATTTTCATTATATTGACTCTTCCTACCCATGAGCATGGAATGTACTTCCATTTGTTTGTATCCTCTTTTATTTCACTGAGCAGTGGTTTGTAGTTCTCCTTGAAGAGGTCCTTCACATCCCTTGTAAGTTGGATTCCTAGGTATTTTATTCTCTTTGAAGCAATTGTGAATGGGAGTTCACTCGTGATTTTGCTCTCTGTTTGTCTGTTATTGGTGTATAAGAATGCTTGTGATTTTTGTACCCTGCTTTTGTATCCTGAGACTTTGCTGAAGTTGCTTATCAGCTTAAGGAGATTTTGGGCTGAGACAGTGGGGTTTTCTAGATATACAATCATGTCATCTGCAAACAGGGACAATTTGACTTCCTCTTTTCCTAATTGAATGCCCTTTATTTCCTTCTCCGGCCTGATTGCCCTGGCCAGAACTTCCAACACTATGTTGAATAGGAGTGGTGAGAGAGGGCACCCCTGTCTTGTGCCAGTTTTCAAAGGGAATGCTTCCAGTTTTTGCCCTTTCAGTATGATATTGGCTGTGGGTTTGTCATAGATAGCTCTTATTATTTTGAGATACGTCCCATCAATACTTAATTTATTGAGAGTTTTTAGCATGAAGGGTTGTTGAATTTTGTCAAAGGCCTTTTCTGCATCTATTGAGATAATCATGTGGTTTTTGTCTTTGGTTCTGTTTATATGCTGGATTACATTTATTGATTTGCATATATTGAACCAGCCTTGCATCCCAGGGATGAAGCCCACTTCATCATGGTGGATAAGCTTTTTGATGTGCTGCTGGATTTGGTTTGCCAGTATTTTATTGAGGATTTTTGCATCAATGTTCATCAAGGATATTGGTCTAAAATTCCCTTTTTTGGTTGTGTCTCTGCCTGGCTTTTGTATCAGGATGATGCTGGCCTCATAAAATGAGTTAGGGAGGATTCACTCTTTTTATATTGATTGGAATAGTTTCAGAAGGAATGGTACCAGCTCCTCCTTGTGCCTCTGGTAGAATTCAGCTGTGAATCCATCTGGTCCTGGACTCTTTTTGGTTGGTAAGCTATTGATTATTGCCACAATTTCAGAGCCTGTTATTGGTCTATTCAGGGATTCAACTTCTTCCTGGTTTAGTCTTGGGAGGGTGTATGTTTCGAGAAATTTATCCATTTCTTCTAGATTTTCTAGTTTATTTGTGTAGAGGTGTTTGTAGTATTCTTTGATGGTAGTTTGTATTTCTGTGGGATTGGTGGTGATATCCCCTTTATCATTTTTTATTGCATCTATTTGATTCTTCTCTCTTTTCTTCTTTATTAGTCTTGCTAGTGGTCTATCAATTTTGTTGATATTTTCAAAAAACCAGCTCCTGGATTCATTAATTTTTTGAAGGGTTTTTTGTGCCTCAATTTCCTTCAATTCTGCTCTGATTTTAGTTATTTCTTGCCTTCCGCTAGCTTTTGAATGTGTTTGCTCTTGCTTTTCTAGTTCTTTTAATTGTGATGTTAGGGTGTCAATTTTGGATCTTTCCTGCTTTCTCTTGTGGGCATTTAGTGCTATAAATTGCCCTCTACACACTGCTTTGAATGTGTCCCAGAGATTCTGGTATGTTGTGTCTTTGTTCTCGTTGGTTTCAAAGAACATCTTTATTTCTGCCTTCATTTCATTATGTATCCAGTAGTCATTCAGGAGCAGGTTGTTCAGTTTCCATGTAGTTGAGTGGTTTTGAGTGAGTTTCTTAATCCTGAGTTCTAGTTTGATTGCACTGTGGTCTGAGAGACAGTTTGTTATAATTTCTGTTCTTTCACATTTGCTGAGGAGAGCTTTACTTCCAACTATGTGGTCAATTTTGGAATAGGTGTGGTGTGGTGCTGAAAAAAATGTATATTCTGTTGATTTGGGGTGGAGAGTTCTGTAGATGTCTATTAAGTCCACTAGGTGCAGAGCTGAGTTCAATTCCTGGGTATCCTTGTTAACTTTCTGTCTCGTTGATCTGTCTAATGTTGACAGTGGGTTGTTAAAGTCTCCCATTATTATTGTGTGGGAGTCTAAGTCTCTTTGTAGGTCACTAAGGACTTGCTTTATGAATCTAGGTGCTCCTGTATTGGGTGCATATATATTTAGGATAGTTAGCTCTTCTTGTTGAATTGATCCCTTTACCATTATGTAATGTCCTTCTTTGTCTCTTTTGATCTTTGTTGGTTTAAAGTTTGTTTTATCAGAGACTAGGATTGCAACCCCTGCCTTTTTTTGTTTTCCATTTGCTTGGTAGATCTTCCTCCATCCTTTTATTTTGAGACTATGTGTGTCTCTTCACGTGAGATGGGTTTCCTGAATACAGCGCACTGATGTGTCTTGACTCTTTATCCAATTTGCCAGTCTGTGTCTTTTAATTGGAGCATTTAGTCCATTTACATTTAAAGTTAATATTGTTATGTGTGAATTTGATCCTGTCATTATGATGTTAGCTGGTTATTTTGCTCATTAGTTGATGCAGTTTCTTCCTAGCATCGATGGTCTTTACATTTTGGCATGTTTTTGCAGTGGCTGGTACCGGTTGTTCCTTTCCATGTTTAGTGCTTCCTTCAGGAGCTCCTTTAGGGCAGGCCTGGTGGTGACAAAATCTCTCAGCATTTGCTTGTCTGTAAAGGATTTTATTTCTCCTTCACTTATGAAGCTTAGTTTGGCTGGATATGAAATTCTGGGTTGAAAATTCTTTTCTTTAAGAATGTTGAATATTGGCCCCCACTCTCTTCTGGCTTGTAGAGTTTCTGCTGAGAGATCCGCTGTTAGTCTGATGGGCTTCCCTTTGTGGGTAACCCAACCTTTCTCTCTGGCTGCCCTTAACATTTTTTCCTTCATTTCAACTTTGGTGAATCTGACAATTATGTGTCTTGGAGTTGCTCTTCTCGAGGAGTATCTTTGTGGCGTTCTCTGTATTTCCTGAATCTGAATGTTGGCCTGCCTTGCTAGATTGGGGAAGTTCTCCTGGATAATATCCTGCATAGTGTTTTCCAACTTGGTTCCATTCTCCCCGTCAGTTTCAGGTACAACAATCAGATGTAGATTTGGTCTTTTCACATAGTCCCATATTTCTTGGAGGCTTTGCTCGTTTCTTTTTATTCTTTTTTGTCTAAACTTCCCTACTCGCTTCATTTCATTTCATCTTCCATCACTGATACCCTTTCTTCCAGTTGATCGCATCAGCTCCTAAGGCTTCTGCATTCTTCACATAGTTCTCGAGCCTTGGCTTTCAGCTCCATCAGCTCCTTTAAGCACTTCTCTGTATTGGTTATTCTAGTTATACATTCGTCTAAATTTTTTTCAAAGTTTTCAACTTCTTTGCCTTTGGTTTGAATTTCCTCCTGTAGCTCGGAGTAGTTTGATTGTCTGAAGACTTCTTCTCTCAACTCGTCAAAGTCATTCTCCATCCAGCTTTGTTTCGTTGCTGGTGAGGAGCTGCCTTCCTTTGGAGGAGGAGAGGTGCTCTGCTTTTTAGAGTTTCCAGTTTTTCTGCTCTGTTTTTTCCCCATCTTTGTGGTTTTATCTACTTTTGGTCTTTGATGATGGTGATGTACAGATGGGTTTTTAGCGTGGATGTCTTTTCTGCTTGTTAGTTTTCCTTCTAACAGACAGGACCCTCAGCTGCAGGTCTGTTGAAGTTTGCTAGAGGTCCACTCCAGACCCTCTTTGCCTGGGTATCAGCAGCAGTGGCTGCAGAACAGCAGATTTTCGTGAACCGCGAATGCTGCTGTCTGATCGTTCCTCTAGAAGTTTTGTCTCAGAGGAGTACCCGGCCGTGGGAGGTGTCAGTCTGCCCCTACTGGGGGGTGCCTCCCAGTTAGGCTGCTCGGGGGTCAGGAGTCAGGGACCCACTTGAGGAGGCAGTCTGCCCGTTCTCAGATCTCCAGCTGCATGCTGGGAGAACCACTGCTCTCTTCAAAGCTGTCAGACAGGGACATTTAAGTCTGCAGAGGTTACTGGTGTCTTTTTGTTTGTCTGTGCCCTGCCCCCAGAGGTGGAGCCTACAGAGGCAGGCAGGTCTTCTTGAGCTGTGGTGGGCTCCACCCAGTTTGAGCTTCCTGGCTGCTTTGTTTACCTAAGCAAGCCTGGGCAATGGTGGGCACCCCTCCCCCAGCCTCGCTGCTGCCTTGCAGTTTGATCTCAGACTGCTGTGCTGTCAATCAGTGAGACTCCGTGGGCGTAGGACCCTCTGAGCCATGTGCGGGATATAATCTCCTGGTGCGCTGTTTTTTAAGCCCATCGGAAAAGCGCAGTATTAGGGTGGGAGTGACCTGATTTTCCAGGTGCAGTCTTTCACCCCTTTCTTTGACTAGGAAAGGGAACTCCCTGACCCCTTGCACTTCCCGAGTGAGGCAATGCCTCGCCCTGCTTCAGCTTACGCACGGTGCGCTGCACCCACTGTCCGGCACTCCCTAGTGAGATGAACCTGCTACCTCAGATGGAAATGCAGAAATCACCCATCTTCTGCATGGCTCACTCTGGGAGCTGTAGACCAGAGCTGTTCCTATTCATCCATCTTGGCTCCAGCCCTCTATGCACAAAATCTTCTACCAACCAGAGGAGCTCCTTTATATTAACATAGGTTTCCACAAAAGCCTGCATGCTCCCTCAAGAAATGTTGCCTATAGTATACTTCTGTAGCATATGAATATTTCATTTCATGTCTATCTGCTCAGTGTTTGTGAGCCTCTTCACTTGTATGTCTGTAAGTCACCTACAAATTCATTTGCAAATGTCTGAGGATGTAGGCTGTTGCTACTAACATTATTATGTCTGCCTAGTTCTGAACGCTGTACTACCACGTACAAGAAAGCACATAAAGAGTAAAACTGTGAAGCTCTTGATGATGACAACCCATTCACAGTTGGGTTTTCTCTTGTACATAATTAATACTTCAAGAAATAATCTATTTTAACATGTACAGATTTCTCACAGAAAAAAAAAGACAGATGGAATGGGGAATGCAAATGGAAAAATGTGATGGTACAATGAACCTTCCAGCATGCATTTTAAGTAATTTACACAAATATGCTCTAATTTGTGAGCCAGAATAAAAATAGCATCATCTGAAAATAAAAGTTAAAACTTTGTCGAAAATTATAAGCCTTGATTTACACATCACATTGTTACATTTTCCGTTATTAAGCATACCATAAGGGCTGCAATCTAAGTATAAATATGCCCCTTTTCACAGCTGCACAATTGTTTTAATTGGCACTAATTTCCTTCCAATTTCAGTATCATTTGTTTTCCTTGTGTGGAAAAGCTGAGTGAGTTTGCTTTCTGTATCAATACACTGAGGAAAGTAACAAGAGGGCTTTGTTTTGCTTGCACATAAGAAAAATTAATCCATAATCAATATATGAAATACATTTTGTGAGAAAGCCTCCATCTTGCCCACTTGTTACACATACTGAGGCTGAACCTGGAACGAGGTAACATTATTTTGATATATGCTTTGTTTGAGTTTACATTTTCTGTTAGGAATAGTCAGAAATTTGGTCTTTAGATTATGTTTGAAAATAATTCCATGTTTCTCAAGTAGTATGAATTGACAACCATAATATCTTCATTGAACTCTGTTTTTTTAATATTGTTTATTCTCATAAAATAATTCCACTAGCCTTATATACTATGAAGAATTAAAAAGCCAAGGAAATTGTATATAGCTTTTTATTTTTGTTAATGTTTAATTTATATTTTTTGTAGTGATGGGGTCTGACTATATTGTCCAGGCTGGTCTCAAACTCCCAGCTTCAAGCAATCCTCTCCCTTCCCCCAGGCTCCCAAAGTGCTGGGATTACAGGCATAACCTATCATGCTTGGTCAAATATATAGCTTTTTGTTGTTGGATGCTGCATGAAGGATTTTATGTCTTAGTTCTAAAAGAACTCAGGTTTTAAAAGTTCAAGATATTGGTTTAAGAAAATGTTAAGAAATATCTTAAAGGTGATAGTCAAGTGATTAGTTTCAATATGTTTTGAAATCATTCTCTTTATAAAATCACATGTGTTTTGAAAACTACTGTATGAAAGATCCTGGATAGTCTCAAAGTGCTAAGAATTCAATGGAGTCACTTGAAAGATCCTTACTGCAGAAGAGGCCCATCAGCAGGGAGAGTCATGGTATTTGGATGGGATGGGACACTCTGCCATGTAATGAGAGCTGTCTCTCCTGTTTTATGTAGCTCTTAAAAAGTTCATCTGAAAACTTCAAATATCTCTGGGGAGTCAAGTTATAGGGTAAGATGTTCCTCACAGCGAGGAATGTTTCATGCCTCTTTCTTTGGTCATTAAAGACAAAGAGTACAGTTTTGGAAAAATCTCCTACTGTCTCTCCTGATCTGCAGGAGTCCCTGCACGGGGCTTTGTGGCCTTTTTGGGAGATAGACCTAGGGATTTGGGCTCAGTATCAACATCCAGGACTTTAAAACAGTTTGGCAAGATGCTTGGTCTTTTGCCACAATTTACTCTCTCTTTTCCATTTGCCCCTGACATAGTTTCTTAAAGAAGGATGTCAATGTCAGAGGCCTGAGATGATGTCTTGCTCTTTCATGGCATCCCAGCGGGTAGCACAATGCTTGTCACACAGGAGGCCCACAACAGACATTTATTCAATAAAGACATGAGTTTATTTGTCTCATGCTGATAATACTAGGGGTCACAAACTGTGAAAATCATTAAGTATATCCACATGATATTTATTGCATCTCTCTAATCCTGGGTCAACCATAAATTTAAGACTGGGCGCAATCTGGATTTTAATAACATTTTCATTAGAATAGTATAAACGGCTGGAAGCTCTTGAAATTAAAAAGATATTTATAGTTCTATAATTGTTTTACATTGTGTACAAGCTTAAGATAACCAGCCCGTTTGTTTCAAGTACCATATTGGTATCACAGCAACTTTCTTTGGAGGAAGTCATAATGAATGGGAAGTTGAAATGGTGATGACCTAAAAAGATAATTTAACAGTGACTGCAATGACTCCTACTGGGAAGACAATGCTAAATTTCAGGCGAAAATATGGACCCTTATGAAGCTCCATATACTTTCTTATTCATAAACTTTTTTGTGTTAGAACAATTTTAGACTTACAGAAAAGTTTCAAGGATAGTACAGAGTCTCCATATACCTTGCATCCACTTTCTCCTATTGTTAACATCTTGGTAACAGTATGTTAACATACTGCTATGGTATATTTGTCAATAATTAATTAACCAATATTTATACATAATTATAAACTAAATTCAACACTGTATTCAGATTTCATTAGGTTTTTTCCATAATGGCCTTTTTCTGATCCAGGATCTTGTCCAAGATATCACATTACAATTAATCATCATGTCTCCTCAGGTTCCTATGAACTGTAACAGTTTTTCAGGCATTCCTTGATTTTAATAACTTTGACAGTTTGTAATGGTATTGGTCAGGTATTTTGTAGAATATCCTTCAATTTGAGTTTGCCTGATGTTTTTCTCATAGTTAGACTAGGGTTATGACTTTTTGAGAGGAAGCTCATAATGGGTGAAGTGTCATTTTCAACATAACAGACCACGAGTACGTACCATCAACACAATTTATCACTTATGATATTAACCTTGACCATCAGTCTGAGGTAGTGTTTGTCAGGTTTCTCCACTGTACGGTTACTTTTTTATTTCTCCCCTGTTCTATAATGTGCTCTTTGGAAGGAAGTCACCAAGTGTAGCTGAGAGTTGAGGGGGAAGTCTTTCTATAAATTATTTAGAATTCTTCTTTAAGGGAGATGTGTCTCTTTCCCCACATTTACTTATTTTCAATCATTTGGTCATATCATTTGGGCCTATAGATATTTATTTTATCCTTATGTTGGCTCCTGTGTCCCTTTGGCATATTCCCATCATGTCATTTTTGAAAACTTCCATAAATTTTGGAACTATATTATGCTCCAGACTCATCTTGTATATTTCCTGTCTCATCCTTAAAAACAGTCATTTCTCCAGGGATCCCTGGCCTGGTACCTTACATTGGAGAATGTTTTTAGACACCAAGATCTGAGTGCTAAGTGTGCTTGTTGCTACTGGGATGTCATTGCTATATATATTCACCTATTGAAGGACATCTTGGTTGCTTCCAGCTTTTAGCAATTATTAATAATCCACTATAAATATTTGTGTGCTGGTTTTTATGTAGGCATAAGTCATGGTAACTCTATGTTTACTTTTATGAAAATTGCTAAACTGTCTTCCAAAGTGGCTGTACCATTTTGCATTCCTGAATGAGAGTTCCTATTGTCCTGCATCCTCACCAGCACTTGGTATTGCCAGGTTTTTAGAAGATTTTAGCCATTCTAATAGGTGTATAGTGGGTTTTGACTCAGTCTTTTCAAGCTTAGAGAGTACCTCTAAACATAGATTGTAGACATCACCAAATTATTGCCTGAACTTTATTTTTAAATCATACAAAAAAACAACAACCAAACATACGCATTTATGAGTGGTAGTCATTGAACAGACACTGCCCACATAAAGTTAATCTCAAGAATCCCGCTCCCCTACTCCCCAACTGCCATCTTCCCAACCCTCTCCCTCTCTCCAGCAATTCCTCCAGCTCACTGTGACTTTTGATCTATTGACCCTATCAATTTTTTTGTCCCTCATATCCTGCATGTCTTTTCTTGCTTAACTCAAATTCCATGTTCCATCATTATAATTATTCTCTTTTATCCTTCCATGTCTTTTCTACTCTCTCCCTCCTTTTTATTCTCGTGGCCAAATTCCCAACTTGACTAAATTCTACTCTCCATCTAATTCCCACTTGCACCAAAACAGCTGAAACTGGTTGGAGAAATCACAAATCATGCTAACTGATGTAACTTTAAGTGGGCCCTTGGTGCTAAATAACAATCACATTAATCTCTCTCATCAATTCATTTTTCTTCTTCTCTCATCTTCCTTTCCTCAAATTTCTAACACCTCTTTATCCTCATTCTCAGATGATAACATTGTTTATTTCATTGAAAAAAGATAAGCCATTAAAAAGGAAATTCCACCTTTCCACCACCAAATTTACAAATCAGCCAATATCCCTACCAACACACATCTATTTTCTATCCCATTGGGATGAATGAATTCTCTGTGCTTTTATCTAATGCTAAATCTTTATTTGTACATTAAATTCCTTCCACTCACACTTTCTTTAAGGAAAGAAATTTAAGTTTTTCCCTGAAGTTTTTACCTCTCATCCCTTTCATCAGTTTTTATCTGTATTTATCCATCTTATTTTTCATACCAGCCATGCTGTAAAATCTCTCATCTTAAAAACAAAAACAAAGCAAACTTTAACTCCATACCCACATTTCCTCCAACAACTGCCCAATCTCTGTTGCCCCTTACAGCTAAGTTCCACTAAAGAGTGTTCTCTAGTCACTCCTTTTCCCCATTCTCTCTTAGACCTTCTCCAGTTCACCTTATCCCCTCTTACCATGTTCATTAACAACACTCCCTTTGATCAACCTGATGGTCACTTCTCAGTGCCTATTTACTTGACCTACCCATAGCATTTCACTGAGAGGTCTTACTTCATGAAAGACTTTCTTCACTTGGTTCTTGGACCCTTACTTTCTCTTGGTTTCCTCCTACTTCATGACTGCTCCTCAATACCCTAGTCATCATTTAATAGTTAATTTGGTGCAGTAAATACTTAAGCCACTGTTTGGAAAAGATAAATAAATAATTTCTTTAAATGCCTGACCCTCACCAGGAAACTTGGGCTTAGAGATATCTTTGAGTCACAAAAATCAGAAATTATGTTTTCTTATTTTACTCCTAAGAAAAAAATCAGGTAATACAAAATGAAAATCAGATATGTTCCAATTTTTTTAAAAAAGTATTTTCTGCTGAAAAGTTAATACAAAATGCTACTTTTTGCCAGAGATCTACCAAGTTTCACTGGGTTCACGAGCCTTCTACTGAACTAAAAACTCTCCAACGTATTTTTAAGAAGCTTGCTTTGAGAACCAAGAAACAATCTTATTCAGCTCAGCATTTCAACATATAGTAGTTCACATAAGGCAGATAAAGTTTATTCAGCAGTTTTTCCAGTTTTTGTAAGAGACACTGTCAGATAATTTGAGTAATAAACACAGACAACACACAAGATTGAATTATTTTAATTGTATTGCTATTTAAACAATTTCCATATTATTCAAATATTTTTTAGCT